>NC_000006.12:60529934-60829934 GCF_000001405.40 Homo sapiens | reverse complement strand
GAAACTCAATGCTGAACACAACAGATGACAAGATCCCAAACATTTTAAATGGAATGACTTGCTAACTAGCCAAAGCTACTTGAGACATAAAAGGCCACACACAAGAGAGCATCCATGAGTTACTCTGACGAGAAAGAGGATTTGAAGGGATTTTTTAGCCTAGAAGGCATGACCCCATACAGCTTCTTCCTGATGCTATGGCCTCACCTATTAAGATGGTTTTGCCCATGCTCCTTATATTTGCCCATGCTCCAGAGCCCAGCTCTTGTTATTAGGAGACACTCTTGTTCTACTGTTTGTGAAATAGGAGCATACCCCATTGCAGCCCACCAAAGAGATGTGAAATACAATAGAGCAGACTGGAAAGATAGCATTAAGAACAAAGAAGTATTTTTAGATTGTATCCTACTGAGTAAGCTAATTTAATATACTAGTTATATATTTAACCCATATGACCCACTCTATCAGCTTTGCATACATTTATGATAATATTTCACTTGAGCACCCTTCTGCCCTATTAGACAAAACCTAGCATCTTCTTCTCAAGGTGCCCGCATCCCAGAATTGGCAAAGAGGCCTGGAATCTTATTTAGTTCAAAGTGGGAGACAGAAGCAATCTTCTATAAGCTGAATGGAGAGATACTGAGTATGACACACCTGCTGACCTTGTTTCTTTCTGTTGGAGTGTTACTGACACTGTTGCCTGGCACCAAGGTTGTAGATCTTTCAAAAAGCTTTGGACCCTATGCTTAGCCACTGTTCTCCAAAGCCCAGTATCTCTTAATACATACAAAGTACATAGATTATTTTATAATCTCTGAGCTATAATAATCAGTCAATAACTGGCAACTCCTCCTTGAACTGCATTTATTGGGCTATGATGCACAAAGAGATAAAAATATATCCGTTGACACGATGGAACACAACACTAGACGGTTTACAGTTTGTCCTACAATGGTAAATCTCAGTCATCTCATCTGTTGATTGATTTCTTGGCATAGCTCACTGATGTTAAGTTTCTTGGGATTAGTTACATAGAAGTGGCTTTTTTCCCATAAACTTCTAGTGTTAGAATTATCAAGGATTCATCTTAGCTTTCCTTTTCTTTAGGAGCACACCGCCTTTTGATAATCTCACGTAATCCTGTGGCTTTCAGTAGCACTTTTAGGCAAATAACTCAAATTCATATCTCCAGATCAGTCCACAGTTCTTTGCTCTTGATACCTATATTATGCTACCTATATTTTCCATATTTGTCAAAAGAATCTCAAATATAATGTGTCCAAGGTTAAATTTCTGAGTTTCATCCTACAAACGTGCTCTACCCCTATTATTTTCATTTAGTAACTGGTGTCCTCTTTCTACTGAGCTTCTCACACAAGCAAACACTTTTATATAAACTACAGCATCCCTTGCCTAGAATACTCACTTTTTTTCCTTTCTTGACTACCTCCATCCATTTTCCACATAGTACCCACAGTGATTTTTTTAAAAAGAAAGAGATTAACTGTCTTGGCTTAAAACCTTTTATTGACTTCCCATGACACTTAAAGCCCAAAATCTTGACAATGTTCTTAAGGTTCTGTGTGAGTTGATCTCTGAATATTCAACATAATATCTTTTCATCCTTCTCTTTGTTCATTTCCTATAACTACTGTGTCTCTCAGACGGTAAGGCACTAATCTTGTTTCCACCTCACAGCCTTTGCACTTGCTTTCTGTTGTTCCTACAGCTATTTTCCCCAGCACCCTGAGCTCCTCTCTCCTTACTCTCTACCTAGTTCATGCTAATCTAGCAGGTGTTTAAGTGTTGCTTTTTCATTGAGGCCTTCTCTTTCACCTTCCCATTATTCTCTCTCATCACTCATGCATATCTTCTAGAACTTATTGCACTTTTACAGTTTTGAGTTTTGCTGGATTAGTGCTTATCTCTCTTACCAGATAGCGAGTTCCATAATGATAGTGATCATATCTGTTTTGTTCATCGTTGAATATGCAGAACCTGACACAGTGCCTGGCATAACCTTCTAATGAATTAATAAAGAGAGCATGCACGGAAGTAGGAGGAAGATATGCAAAGGTTTTCTTCTGTGTATGTGCTTGCAGGGGTGAAGGGACTATTGACAAGACGGTAGTTTGCCTCTACTCTGCAGTTTATGAATCTACACCTTTCCTTCTCCTTGTTGCTAACCTTCCTTTTTTGCAAAAAAGTCTATAATTTGCTATTGCTGTTTCTGATAGCTATCCCACCACCACGCCATGATTTCTGCTGCTTGTCTATTCTTCCTCTTCTTTCAAATTGCATAAGAAATTCTTGCTGAAGCCACAGAAATAGAAAGCATAATTGTGATAATGTAATATTGTTTTATGTTGATGAAATGGGAAAAGAGACAATGGTAAAGTGATTAAAGCCTCGGGCAGTGATTCTCAAACTTTAATATCTAAGTGTTTCATGGAGAGCTTGCTCAAAGAAATAGCTATTCCTGAACTCCTCGAAAGTTTGATTCAGTAGATCTGATTTAGGAGAATTATAAAAAGGTCCCCTGAAATGGGTGAGATTTGGTAGAAAATGAGAATGAAAATCCTCCAGAGATTAACTTTATGTTAGTTTTATTTTCTTCAGTGAGGAAAGTTTCCTGTTTGTCACAGTAAAGTTGGGAACCTGAAATTCTATTATGATTATGGAGCACTGTCTCTTTTAAGATGATGGCTGGAGGATACCTTGCAATCACATAAATGGAGAAACCCTGACTGTCTTGGGAGAAAGCAGTTTCTAGACCTGGAATGAAGTGTAGTTTACTTGGCAAGTTAGGGGAAGTGAGGTTTTGTAGCCCCTAGATGCAAAATACTAGAAGGCATCTGGACCCAAGGCTCTGGGTACTGGCTTGTATCCCCAAATATATCTAGGGGATAAACTGAAGGCTACACACCCTCTGGGGATGTGTAGATTGCAACATGTGCTATGCTGGGGTGCCCTAGTTACAGGCTGGCAGCCTTAGCAGGTGTCTACCTATTATGATTTGAGGCAAAATGTGAAGATCTCACTGTAAAACAATATGTTTTGCAGAGGATATCTGACGTATCACCTTTGTTAACACATAAAGGCAGAAGTTGAGAGTTTCAGGAACCTTGGAAATTATGTAGGACAGCTTATGGCCAGTAAGCAGATTCCATTATACCCTTTCTATTACATCTTTCAGTTGAATACTTCCAGTGATAGGAAATTGAGAATCTACTAGGTTATTTAATTAATTTACTCTTAATCTTATATTTTAATATCTGGTAGTTAACATTTTTTCTCATTATTTTTGTATTCAAATTGTTCTTGACCATTTTTTTTCTGGGTCACATAATCTTTCTGATAACCTTCAACATTATTTTGTTAAGTTCTAAGTTTATACATTAGTATAATGAAGAATATTTTTAATTTTTCTGGGAAAATTCTCTTTGAATAAGCCAGTAGCAGATGTGTTGCCTGTGAAGGAAGCATCAAAGGAAGGCATAAGCAAAACAAAAATTTGAAATGTGTACTTTGAATCTAAAATACCACTTTGAAACAAATGAGAATCCAGTGTTTTGATAATGAGAAATCAATGAGAGAGCCAGGCCATTTCCATTAATCCTATAAAAATATTTGTTAGTATATTTACCACCTCCAGCTAAGGGAGATATCTGTTACTAAAGAGGACCTACACTGCCTAAATGAAGGAAAATTTCTTCATGATATTATCACAGATTTTTATTTGAAGTAAGTTAATTTTCCACTAAGCTCTTAGCAAAATAAATAAATAAATAAATAAATAAATAAATAAAATAATAGAGATGGGGTTTCCCTATGTTGCTCAGGCCAGTCTTGAACTCCTGGCCTCAAGCAATCTGCCTGCCTCGGCCTCCCAAAGTGCTAGGATTATAGGTGTGAGCCACCACACCAGGCAGTTAGCAAATCTTTAACTTTCTATCATATAATGTATATTTGCTTTCTGGTGTCAAACTGGATTTTGAATTCTAATTATTGCCACTTACCGTGTGACATCAGGGAAATTGATCTGTCTCTACCTGTGTTTCCTCATTTTAAAAATGCAGATAAGAATAATAGTATTTACCTAAAAGGGTTATTGTGTGAATTAAATGTGATCATACATGTAAAGTCCTGGGGTAAGTGCCTGGCACACGTCAAGCATTCAAAAAATGCTAGTTTATTGTGTTACTGTAGTATTGTAAGACTTTAGAAAATTGTTACTACCCTAGCTTAGGTAATAATTAGTTAAGCATGTACAAAAGTATGATTTCATTAATTTCCTTCAATAAAACATATTCTAAAGTGCCAAGAAAAAAAAACCATATCATCACCACCATCATCACATCTAAAAATATACTTATTATCTTATGTGGGAAGTATGCTTGCAGCTAATCAAAAACAGCTATTAATCCATGGTACAAGTGATAAAAAAGGAGAATCAGAACTCTGTCCTTCTTGCACAAAAACAATTGTTATCTGATCAATCAAAAGATCAAAATATCATTACTAATAACCCCAGCTCTCCCCATAATATTTAAGGCATAATTTAATACAAACATGAATAACTGGGGAATGCAAATTTAGTTTTGCTATAATTAAGTTCTGCTTACAAATTTAAGGTCAATTAATTCTTGTCTACATTGTCAAAATTGTAAACAAGTTCACACTGCTGTGAAGACAGGTTTCTACGAGGTGACAGAGTATGATAAGTCAATAATGGAATAACGATGCTTAAATCTTGCCTGTTTGGTTGGGGGGGACATTAACATAAAAAATCAAATTTGCAATTCACCAAGAAGAACATGGTCTGTATTGTAAAAGGAATTTATTGTATTATACTCTAATAGATCTGTAATTTTTCCTTTAAAAAAGAAAAGATGGACTATATTTTAGGGTAAATGTGGCATTAATTAACAAAGAAATTGAAAGAAATTGTAACACACCATGTGAAGTCTGAAAAATTCAAAAGATAAATCTGTCCACAAATATCTTAAACTCTTAAGTCAATGACAGAAGACAAGGAAGCATAGCGAAGCAATTCATTATAAAATTCAGAGCAAATTATTTTTTTGTAAAGCTAGGAAATATAAATAACCAGTCCTCTTCCTCACTTTCCAAAATCGTACCTCAAGTAATTATATCTCAAAATCTATTCTTACTAGTTTGTTGGAGCTTTCCACATAGTTTTATTTTACCACTTTTTAAAAAAACACTGATAATGTTTTTGGGGGCCTAGGGAATATTTCCCCTTTGTCCTCTGAAGGTTCACTGAAAAATCAACTCACAAAAAGGCTATCAAGCTACGGTACATGTTATAAAGAAGGAGATTAATTGGAGTCTCTGCCTTTTTGGGAGTTCAGTTTTCAGTGAATCTTCAGAGGGTGAAGGGGAAATTTTCCCTTTGCCCCAACTGTTTGACACTGTGAACAAGATGATCAAAGCTCTGCTCTTCCGGAAGCCTCAGTGAAGAGAATCCAGGACCCAGTAAGTTAGCATAAGGGTAGGAATTTCTTACCAGACAGGCTCTCACCCTCTCTATGTAATCCAGCTGAGAGGATGGTGAAAATCACCTTTCCTCTGCAAAATTTTGATTAATGAGAGAAAAAAATTTGTGTAACTAGTCAGTGTAACGATTCTGATGTACTTTTTGGTACTTTGCAACGTTAATATTTGTATTGTTTGATCCTTTTCCTCCCAGAAATACTCATTGTATTTGTTTTTCTGTGTTGTTCTGTCATAAAGAGAGGTACCAAATGAGGCTCTCTCTCATTGTATTTTACATTTTTGAGAGCTTGACTTGTGACCTTGTGGGAGCACTCTCTCTTGATCTTGCCATCCAAGCAGTGTCATTTTCAGGTCATGTTAGGTGGCCAGTCTGAGAATGGCCCAGAAACCGAGACTTTTTGTTCCAAGTGTGTCAAGCTCTTAGGAGAGTTAGTCTATCTTAGCCTATTTGGGGGAATCTTTGAAATTGCTTCTTCACTGAAGAGGCTATTGGATTGAGTCATTATTGGAATAAGCGCACTGTTGGAAATTCTAATTAATCAGTGGACAAAAGATGGATCCTTTAAATTAGAAAGCTTCCTGAATTAAAAAAAAAAGAAGAAGAAGAAGAAGAATTTTAGAGATAACTTATTCTAAACAATTGATGGGAAGATTAAATTAGAAGAAAGACACGTAATAGTACAATGGCTAGCCTTTGAAATTCTCTTGACTAAATTAAAGAGCAAAAATCTGACCTAAAACAAAGTTAAAATCCTTTGTATTCTCAAACCACCTGCTTTAGTTTCCCCGTGGGAGTAACAATAAAGGTCACTCCACTTTGTGACATAATAGTTAAAATTCTGTGCTTTCACTGCCATGGCCTGGGTTCAATTCCTGTTCAGGAAACCATTCCCTCTTGATTTTTGATATTTGTGTGGCTTTTAACTTTTCAGGGTACCTATTTGTTATTGATCCTTTTCCCATCCATGGACAGCTTTTGATTTTATGTCTTTTTCTATCTGTGGAAGGCACACAAGGTTTTTTGGTCTTTTTTGTGTAGAAAGGCAGCTGAGAAACTGAGACCCTAAAAAGTATTCTAGAGAAAGTTTCCTATCTTTGAGCTGTCTTTAGGATGATTCTGGATAGTTACGGCTTGACTTTAAAAGGTACCTTTGGTATAAAAAAAAAAAAGTTCATAAGCCAGAAATGTCAGTAGTTTGTCCTGTATAAAATCTGACAATAAGAGACTTAAAAGGATTTTTAAGAGCTCTATAATTAAACGTTAATTGAATGAAAACCTAACATTCAACATATATATACAAATACACATAATGTATATGCACACATAAATATACACACACAATACATAAATATATACATATATACACATACATATATACATACAAGGCCTTTCTGTTCTTTCTCCTTGAATTGTGTTTTTGGAAATTTTATTTTCAGTGGACTAAAATCTTTTTTTTTTTTCTTAATTATGTGCTTGTTCCCTCTGTTTGCTTCCTTTCTTAAAAACTGTTCTTCCTCCTCCTTACTCCTCCTTTCTCTTTGCCACCTTTGGTACAAATGAAAAGATCCAGAGAAGAATTCTAATGACTCAGACTCCTTAAGGAGCTCAGAAAAAAGCACCACCCAGCCCCTTTCAAGGGCTCTTCTACTTTCCTTATAGAGTTTTAGAAGTCATGGACAGTCTGTCAGGTCTAAAACTCTGCTCTTTTGCACTGCATTATCTGATCTCTTTTACTATGGAGAGTATCAGAAAATTACTTTGTTCTGTGAAAAAAAATAAACCTTGACCTTTGTGTGTGTGGTGGCTGGCAGGTCACTGGTAAGAGCTGCAGTTGTTTATAGTCAATAGTTTCTACTACTGGGGTTACTCTTATCTTTGCACACTTAGATAAGAAAGGATGCAATTTAAACACTTAGAGAAATGTCTTTGTAGCCAAGCACACTGTGAAAGCCTTGTACAGCTGGGTCATGTGGCACTTCCCTCTTTGAGGGGTTCTGAGATTCAATGTAAAAGTGAAATTCTTGATTTTTAAAGTTTAGATTTTCTGCCTTCCAATTATGCCTGCTTTTCACATATTTAAATTATTAGGTCCTAAAAACTGCAAATACTTTGTTTGCCCTGTTTCTTAATGGGCTCAGCCCTGAGTTCAGTGGTTTAGTTGAAAAATATTAAATTAAAAGCTACCTATCTAAATGAAATTGGTCTCTTTATGCAATCCTCTGGTAAATTCCTATGATTTTGTGTTACTTTGGCATTCATTTTTAATCTTCCTCGAACTAACACAACTAAACACTTTCTTGAAAAAGCTCAAATTCTCTCTCTTTGCCTTGAGATGTAAATTGACTGCCCCTTTACTCTAAAATTGTTACGGTCTTCAGCCATAACTTGTTGATTTACAGAGGCACCATTTAATCCCACTGTCCTTTTAAACTGGTGAGTTTTACCTGTCTCTTGGCTGAAATTTTAAAAGCAAAACTATAATATCTTTATTTATGCTTGTCTATATCTGTGTGTACATGGGTATATGTCTGTCTATATACTGTCTGTGTGATATTAAATTGACTTATAAATAAACAAGTTATCATAAACTAAGTAAAAGTATTAGTTACTTTTTCTAGTTCATGTGACTTTACTAATCTTTGGTAAATAAAGATAGTTTTTAATTTGTTGGTAAAGCAAAAGCATCTTAAGAATCTAGGCCGGGCACGGTGGCGCATGCCTGTAATCCTAGCACTTTGGGAGGCAAAGGCGGGTGCGTCACAAGGGCAGGAGATCGAGACCATCCTGGCTAACACAGTGAAATCCCATCTCTACTAAGAAAGAAAATACAAAAAATTATCCAGGTGTGGCAGCAGGCACCTGTAGTCCCAGCTACTTGGGAGGCTGAGGCAGGAGAATGGCGTGAACCCAGGAGGCCAAGCTTGCAGTGAGCGGAGATTGCGCCACCGCACTCCAGCCTGGGTGACAGAGCGAGACTCCCGTCACAAAAAAAAAAAAAAAAATCTAATATAGACATTTTTGCTTGACTCTATTGGTTAGACAGTTTTATGCTATCTCTACTAGATATTTTACAGTAATAAAACTGTTGCTTCTATTATATATATAAATAATAAATTACATATTTTTTTTTAAATCTGTGAACTTGTATTTTTGGATTTCAACCATGGGTCATGGTGAGGCCTAGGGACAACACCCAGCCTGTCCTCTGGTCTGGCTGTGCTTCTTGCCATACTGGGATAAATTAGATCCCCTGAGCATTGTCCTTTGTCCTGGGTTACGTATCTGATACACATAATTAAAACTGCTTACTTCCTAGATTTTTCAATGAAAATAAGGGTTACCAAGAGTTAACACTGTAATTCATATATGTAATTAAACCTACTTGATAAGAGAGAAATAATTCTACATGTAAGTGTATTTTAAAAGTTGGATGTGTTTTTGGTAAAGTAAAAAGTTATAAGAAGACATAAGAATGTAGTTTTTGTTAAAAGAAAAATAATTTTATCTAATTAAAAATGTTTTAATTGTTTTAAATTAAATAAAAAAATAGAAAAATAAAACTAAATATATATTAAAAGTTCAGGAAATTAAAAGTGAGAAAAATTATAAGAGGTTACAAAAGGCTTATAAAAATCTTATTTTATGTGGTCAAAGCTGATTGGGATTAGATGGATTTGTTTATAAGATTTTGTTAAAATTAGCTTAACAATAAAACGCTGATACAAAGGTAAACTTTTTCTTTTTTGAACAAGATTTTTTGGTAGTATTAATAAGAGGTATTAAAAGATATTTATTTACCTTTTGAGTAAACTACAAAAAAAGGGGCAAGAAAGAGAGATGGATTCAGTGTTTGCCTCATGGTATCTTTATTAGGTCTTGTGATTGTTGAGGAAACTGAGTCTTCTATCAAAGATTAAAGATTGTTGTTTTTTGAAATCTTTGAGTTACTGCTTTGGCTAAACGAATGCCTTATTTTACAGAGTGACCTGTGATTCTATATTGAGCAACTGTCTTAAACCTTTGATATTTGAATTGGTAAAATCAAAATTTCAATTTCTAAATAGTCTTTTTGACCTCAAGCTAATTTTCTGGATATAGGGCCCCTGGAAGTCCAAGAGATAATACAAGATTTGATATGTTAAAAATCATATAGGAATGTCAAATAAGAAATAGTGTCTAACTTTTGGGGAGGTTATATTTGTATAAATATGTTCTTAATATGTATTCTAAAATTGTATGTGATTCTTAAAATTCTGATAATATGCCTTAATATGTTATCAATAATAATTATTATATTAAATTGTTGTATGCCACAAAAATAACCAAATTTTCTTGTCAAATGTGTTTTTAACTACAGTTATTCTAAGACTTCTGTCATCCACAGACAATTATTGTTTTATTTGAATTCTCCTCAAAAAGTAGTTTATAATCAGATACAGACCAAAACTTGCTTCTTTTTTTAGGGAAATTCATGAAAAGGACTCTTAGGAGTACTCTTAAATACAGCTTTCTGATAATCTTGGAGATCATACCATTGGACTAGCAAAAAACTTCCAGGATTCTAGTTGAAAAGCTGATGCGTTCACGAGGATTGCTAACCCAACATCAAGCTGACAAGAGTTAATTACCTGCGACTGAACTGATAGAGTACTGAAATAATTTTCTTGAGCTTTTTGCTTGAAACATTGCTGATTCTTTTCATGCTTTGTTTAACACAGTCAAGAAAACTTTCTTTTTTCCTTTTGAACTGTTTATAGCTTACAACCAATTGGGTAAAGTATACTTTTATAAGCAAAATCTGAAGGATTTATCTTTCTCTCTACCTTATTTCTCCAGAATTTGGAAACTATTTGTAAATATGCTTAATTTGTTGGCTAGGCACAGTGGCTCACGCCTGTAATCCCAGCAGTTTGGGAGGCCATGGCGAGTGGGTCATCTAAGGTCAGGAGATCAAGACCAGCCTGGTCAACATGGTGAAACCCCATCTCTACTAAAAAAGTGCAAAAATTAGCTGGGCATGGTGGCAGATGCCTATAATCCCAGCTACTCAGGATGCTGAGGCAGGAGAATCACCTCAGGAGGTGAAGGTTGCAGTGAGCCAAGATTGCGCCATTGTACTCCAGCCTGGACAACAAGAATGAGACTCCATCTCAAAAAAATAAAAATTACGGCAATAATTATCAATAATTATTATCAATAACTATCTGTTTTATAACAAGATACAAATGGAGACACTGGTTATTTCACCAGTCATAACTAAAATGGCATATTTTCAGATATGCTCAGACTGCTTTGAGAAATTGATGTTGACTTTATAGGGTCAATAAAAAGTTCCTTGGAAAGACTGTTCTGGTACCTTGTCTACCTGGTTTCTTTACAAGGTAAGTAAGGAATGTCACTTTCTGACAGGCTCAAGTTATTTTGGCACCTTGAGAGAGAGGAATTCAGCCAATTTATATCAGTATTATAGGTACAGTCTGGCAAATCCTTGGCTTGCCTTTTTAGCCTTGAGGCCTGTAAAAGACTAATCTGAGATTTCTTTTGAAAAAGTTCCAGTAAAGCCAACTTAAAAAGAGCCTATATTGTCTAATCACTATTCTCAGTGAACTTCACATATATAATCAAGCCAAATATATGACTAAAACTTATTTTCCAAATAAATTAGTCCTACTATTCGTCTTTGGTAGAAATGGGGGACTAGAAAGAGAAAATTTATGTTTTCAGCAGAAAACTATAGTACATCTGTTATTAGACTCTAGCTTTCTCCATTGCTTTTTAATATTTATTATTTCCCTACAAATCTGGAGTGGACCTTGAATTCTTTCATGTCTACAAGTATTTAAACTAATATTACTAATATTTCCAAATTTCTTTCCATTTTTCTGGAAATCACTAAAATTAAAAACACTTTTTCCTGAAGTGTTTTTGGAATCACTTGGAATCACTAAAATTAAAAACACTTTTTCCTGAAGCCCTGGAAGCTGAAGCCAGAAAATTTGATACAAACATGGAAAAAAATCATCACAGCAACTTAATATATGAACAGACTCTGTGCCTGTTGATAAATACACTGCTCAGAAAGCTCACTGGAACACCTGAGGCAAACCACAAACCAGGAAAAATGTGTCAGGTTGCCACTATCTGCTCTCACTTCCTGAAGATGCTTCAAGCCCAACATCTAAAAACCTTCATGATTGGCTGCCATCTGGACTCAAAAAAAATGAGTTTATAGTTTGTTCTAACCGCTAACATTTGTTTTTCTTTTATTTTCATAGAAACATCTCTTAATAAACATCTGGTTGCTCAGATCATATAGAGGCCTTACTTTGGTGGACGGCCATCTACAACATCACTGCCTGAAATGAAACACAGATGTTAACTGTTTAATTGGACTGGCCTATTCATGGGATTGAAAAGATTGGTTCAGCTGCTTATAAGATGGTCCACCAACTCAATTTCTGGACTGTAAATTTCTTGGAGAAGTTTCAGACTGGATAATCTTGGGACTCAGAAAGTAATACCCCAAAATGAAGGCCTCAGAATCAGCCTCAAAGAAAAATTTTTTCCCTGACCTTCCCCTGCCCTCCTATCTCTAAGTTCCATTCTCCCCCAAAGCTAGACATGGAAATTAGAATCCTTCTTCCCCAAGGTGGGTTACAGAAAACAGAATCCCTTTTCCCCAAAGCCAGCCAGAAAACCTAAAAATATTTTTCTAACTTTCCCTCTACCTTGCTGTGTGAAAACTGGTCATAAAAATTTATCTGACCTACCTTGTTTGACTGTAGGTCATAAGACCCTCCCACTCAAGAGAGGTTCAGATCTACACTCAGAGGAAAAAGTGCGTGTTCAGAGAGGCCAAGAACAATCTGGACAGACAGGCCTTGCTGGGTTTCCCCACTCAGCATATTAGCATTAGATCATACACATTTTGTTCAATTATATTTCTACATGGATGTCCGTATTTTGTTGAACCGAAGCATAAAAATGGACAATTTTCCCTGTATGTTTGGGTCTTCATTCTGAAGACTTCTATGTGTATATATTAAATGAATTTGGATGCCTTTTCTCCAATTAATATGCCTTTTTTGAGTCAATTTTTCAATGAATCATCAGAGGGCCAAGGGGAACTTTCCTTTTGGTCCCTATAGAGTTTAAATGTGGTAAAAATCGCAGGTGGAAATTTTTTATTTTTGTTTCATATGTCAAGCACTAACTAGTCTCTTTTTGTTGTTTAATTTTGTTTTGTTTTGTTTTGTACTGTTTTGTTTTCTTTGCTACCTAAAAGTCTTTGTCAAACCAAGCATTAGAAGGTGATTTCTACATTTTCTAGGATACCACATGTATCAAACCATTTTTAAGTTATCAAAACTGTTAAGAGGAAATAAGAGGTGAAATCTCCTTTTAAGCTACCATTGTAAGTTGTGACCACAACCGAAAACCAATATATCTTAAAGTCCCTTTGGTCATCATAGTGTTCTCTGTCCTCTAATCTCTTTATTCTCACCACGGGTAGTATTGGCTATGGTTTACTTTTTTTCCAAAGATAAAAATATTTAGTTCAAGGCATCTATCTTGAGATGGTATAAGCAAAGAAGGCTTAATATTCAGTGGTCTAGATTGCTGGTCCCCAGAGAAGAAATGTGTCTGAAGTCTTCAGTAATGTTAATGCATCTGCCTTGAAGCGAGAAGGCTCACAGAGAAAGGAACTACTGCAATCACTCCAGAAAATGCCTCCTTGAATTTGAAATCACTTCTGGTCATCAGTGACCAACAATAATAAGCTCAATTACAGTGTGTGTAGAATAAATAGAAACTAAAGTATCAGCAAAAAGAGAACCAGCCTGTGTCCAGAATACAGAGTCTACCTTGACTATAATGGTTCATTGTTAAGAAAAATCCTTGTCATATGATCAAGGAACTCAACAGCGAGCCTAAACCTAATCTCAGCCAACATTTTTAACCAATTATCAGGAACAATTTTAAAAAAAACCTAAAACATGAATATGGCAAAGTGAGTATTTTGACTTCTCTTGCAGGTGTATGTATAAAAAAACAAGTAAAGCTACTACATCAGTGTCCTTTGTTTAATGACCCCAACTGGCCACATTCCATAATATAGGGAAGATAATGGATCTCAAAAGGTACAACTAAAGGTAGCTTAAACCATCAAATTCACTACTCAAAGTGTAGAAACCTGTCCCAGATCATCCAGTTCAAGGTAGAAGATTACAGGCTTCTAGAGTCTTATATACTAGATGATGTTACTTGTGAGAGAGACAAATTACGAAGATTATCAGAAACTCTCACCATGAAAGACTAGAAGAAACTTAAAAGATTCAAAATATACTAAGAATAAAATACAATAAAAAGGCAAAATTAATTTTTAAAAACAGAAAAAACTAATTTCCAAATAAGAATTAAATAATGAGTTAAAAATAAGGAAATACGAGATGAGATTTAAGTTGAGAAGTCTCCATTACAATAGAATTTTTAAAACTAAAAACAGGAATGCAAAAGAGGTAATGAATTTTTTAAAATTTGAGTTTAAAAATGGAAAACTAAATGGGATTAAGGTTTAGATACAGAATTAAGGACTTGAAAAGAAAAGTGAATAATAGTAAAACAATAAAAAAGGGAATGGAAGATTATTTTGAAACAATGAAAATAATACGTTAGAAAATTAGAAAAATGTGAAATAAGAAATTATGCAAAATTAACATAGAAATAACATATTTGAAATGCTGTTAATAATAACCAACACTTCCTGAGTGCTTTCTGTGGATGAATTAAAGGTTCTATTTCTTCTTGTATATACTATAATTTCTACTCTCTGAATGTTGTTCTTAAGTAACCTTTGGCTTATTACCTTTATTGTTTCCTCATTTATAGAACAGGGATAATAATGGTATCTCCTCATATGGCTCTTGTAAGGCTCGAATGAGTTAATTCCTATACAGAGCTTAGAACACTGAGCAGCCCAGATTCAAGAGGAGGGAAAATAGATTCTATCTCTTAATGGGGGAAGTGGCAAAGTCACATTGCAAAAGAGCAGGTGGGATGGCCATCTTTGGAAACACAATCTGCCACAGCAAGAACATATAAGAAATGTATAGCAGTGGTTACCAGCAGGAGTGGGTGAACAGAGTGTGAGATGGGTAAGAGGAAGATAGAGGAAGAAATATGTAACTTTTTGTATACTTAAAAAAAATTTTTTTTGAGCTAACCTAAAAAACCTGTTTTAAATAAGCCATTTTTTAAAAGTACAACAAATGCTGATTAAATGGACACATTTTTCCTTAAGTTCATTGTCTTCATTTTTTATGCTCCCTAATCTCCATCCCCAGAGAAAACCTCACTTCACCTTCAAGTTTACATTTCTAATACTATAACTAAAATTCCACCAAGATATTCTTGTATGGTTGGCCCACTCTTTTGGAATTACGTCATAGTTCAATTATCAATATCACAGTATATCTTCATCCTAATACACCTGGCACATTTCCTATATGTTATAAGTTGAGGTGGAAATTTAGGAGCTTTTAATCATTTTCTTTATAAAATAATGTCATATATTTTTATAAATAATACATATAATTTTAAGATAGTAAAATATCTGCATGCTTAAATCAAATATATTCTACAACAAACATATTCCCACTATATGTTACTAGTATCTGGGAAGATTGATGCCTATCTACCCTTTGCTCAGGTAAAACTTCGAAAAGAGCCTCCTTTTAAATTTAAAGAGCTCCTAACACATTGTTCATACTTTTAACCTGCAGAACTCAGGGCAATCCTAGCCGCCTTCTGCTCCCAAAACTTATGAAACAAAACACCAAATAGAAAAACACAACAGTTTTCACATTCCTTTCAGGGTAACAGAGTGGCTGAGCCTTGTTATTACTCCCCAGATAATACTAGCTTCTGTCCTCCCAAAGCCACTTAATCCTGCTCAATTCAAAAATCAAGTCCTCTGGGAGAGTGAGCAGAGCCTGTGAGCTCATTCTGAAACCTGTCACTGTCTTTTCCAGCCCTGCCTCCCAACAACCTCTGCTGACTCCAGTGCGTGGTTGGATGATACATGTTTTGATAGCTGGATCTCTGAGTCTTTTTTTTTTTTTTTGTCAGAAATCCTCTTAACAGGCTTCCTAAGGATGCCATGGAGAAAACTAAGCCAGTAGAAAATCAGGCTGAATAAGCAGCTGTTGCATAACAGAGCATGTTCTATAGGATCCATGTCCAGAAAAATCAGGGTTTGCAATGAAAGCCCACTTTGACTTTTTAAATAAGATCTGAAGTCACACATATGCATTCTGACTTTAGTGACGTCATGTTATCCTTATTTCAGAACACAATGAATTGGTATATTAAATGTGAACATAAACCTTCCAATTAAAGTAGACGTACAACGTCATTAGTATGTACAATGTCAATTAGTATGCTGAAGAAAAGTTTGGGGGTTTGGGGGGATTTTTTTTTTTTGAGACAGAGTCTTGCTCTGTCCCCCAGGCTGAAGTGCAGTAGCGTGGTCTTGGCTCACTGCAACCTCTGCCTCGCGGGTTCAAGCAATTGTCCTGACTCAGCCTCCTGAGTAGCTGGGATTACAGCCATGTGCCACTATGCCTGCTTAATTTTTGTATTTTTAGTAGAAATGGGGTTTCACCACGTTGGCGAGGCTGGTCTCGAACTCTCGATCTCTGGTGATTTGCCTGCCTCAGCTTCCCAAAGCGCTGGGATTATAGGCATGAGCCACCATGCCTGGCTGGCGTTTTTTGTAAAAAAAATAATAATAATAACTCATTAAGAGTGATCGCTCAACCTAAAGATGTAAGGAAAAGTCATTAACATATGCAAAGTGTGATCATTCAATAAGGAAAATTATCTCTATGTGTGGCCTAAGAAATTCCACACTTTATTTTGTGGTCATGTCTACCACAGCTGAACTGCTATCCCTTCTATAGTATCTAACCCTTTGAATACTTTTCTTTAAATGACTCTCATTATGTCCAATACCTAGGCCAAATCAACCACTGAAGTGTATAATAATTTTCCCACATTTTCTGATTGGTGCATTTTACTGTGACAAATATTGCAACCGGTATTCAGCTGCAGCAACCAGTAATGTAACAGTCTTTATACCATGTTCCAAACTAATCAAGATGCTTAATGGCTTTTAAATACATGCTGATGCAAGATCATGAAGTCCCAAAAAGTTCATAATTTTTTCCCTTTTCTTTTTCTTCTTTTTTTAAAAATAATACTAACCCTCAAAGTTAAAACAAACAAAACTCCATCAAAGCACTCTCAAAAAAAAAGCCATGTTACCAATCATTTATTAGGTCTAAATAATGTGCCTATATTATCCTCCCCACCTTGAAAATAGACTCTTTAATAAACACAAGAGGAAAAATAAATAGGTTAACCAGGAAAAAGGTCATGCCTTGTCTGTTATAATATGGTCTGATCACCCAAGATGATTGATTTCTTAAAAGAATCCATATCCATGACTCTTATAGACATTCTGCCATCCTGCAGCCATCTACAAGGTAGCTTGTACTTCTAAGGTTATTAAGTCCTTGTGGTCCTCTTAAGAAATCAAGAAGTTCAGTAGCCTCACTTTTTTTGTAAAATAAATTTTCTCAGTCTCCCTTTTTAAAATAAAAGCTGTAAAATGGAAGTGTTAAATCAGTATACTTGAACAATACCACCTAGTTTTGCATATCTTCAATACCATTAGCTCCATTCTGGAAATAAAATCAAGGAAAAGAAAATCAAGGAGAAATCCCCTACAATAATAAATCAACCTCTTCCCTCCCCCCACCTCCTTCTCTTTGAGAAAGTATGTGGTGGCAAAAGCTAAACACACTTGGCTCTTGACCCATTCAAAACATAACTAATGTGAAGAAGCCACTCGCTATTTTTGACTGCTTGGTGAGAAAATATAAGCCATTCTATGACTTCTCCACTCTCATCCAGTGCAGTCTTTCTTCTCTCCCACACCAGATTCTCTCTTCACCAGCCCAAGAAACAAAGTAATGTATGATCCCTAATACTGCCCTAAAATCAGTGAAAGAAATAAGCATTGAGCCTGTACTACACAGCAGCTACCTGATTTATCTTCCTCCTCCAATGAAATACTACAAGAAAAAATGACCACAAATGGAGAAAAGTAAATAATTCCCTCATACTATGCTATAATTTTTTTTCTAACTTGTTCTGACCTTTTTTTATAACTACTACCCTTCACTACCATTGTTACAACCACCATTACTATCAGTAATTATTTAGCATGGAAAAACTAAAATTTAGTTCATTGCAGTATCTTTCATTTGACCTAATAATTTAAGCTGCCTCTTTAGGTAACTCAGTCTCTGCTTATATGACTTCAATAAATTGTCCAGTTCCATTGCACCCATCCTCTCCTCCTCTTCAAGATGGTACCAAGTGAAGGGAGTAGCGTATGACATATAAGCCAGCAGAGTTTGGGAAAAGGGACCTGAATCTATGGGTCATCTCTGCAGAGCAACTGGTCTGGTCTTCTGGTACTACACTTACACTAGGTCAATATTTTTGTTACACTTATTTTTCTATTTTTGGTGAGAGGAAGATGTCTTGCTTGTTCTTAAAAGTGAAGTCCTTGAAGTTACTCCTTACCCCTAGTCTTATAGTACAGAATAGTGCTGCCTTGTGACTCCACCACTCAACCAGCACTCTCTGCACCTCCACATCCCTCCCCAGGGCACACAGACATTTCCACATCCCTTTACCAATCAGCCTATCTGAAATGGTTGTATTAAGCTAACCCAGTGTGATTAAAACACAATTTTCATTTTTATTTCCCTTCTTTTAAACACTTTTAAGATTAATAAAATATCTTTCCACTCCCTCCCCATAGATGTAAAACTTTCACGCATATAAGCAATCCTTCAGTCATTACAATTCAAAAAAAATTCTGATTTGCTAAATTAAGCTGGTTCATGTGATAATCAAAACTCTAAACACAACTTTAACTAGTATCCCCTCTGCTCTCACTTGCTGGGGCCTAAGCTGACAACTTACAGTGGGAAAGGATTAGCCTCTCTTACTAGGCTAATCCTACTCTTCTTCCACCAGCTTGATCAGCAAGATGCAGAACTTCCCAGGATTGGTTCCACATGGAGAGTGCATTAAGAAAAGGCCATGGACAGTGGCAAGTTCTATTGTTCCGTGATAAGGGGGCCTTCTGGAGTGTGTTTTAATATTGACTCTTCTTCATAGAGGCTTTTATGGGTTCCTTAGAGAGTGTTCTCATTGGAAACCTCCATTTCTGGCCACATTGACATGTGGACAACTGCCCTTCCTGAGCCCCTGGCTTTTATAGTGCCCCCACTCAATTTTGGACTTTCACTGTTAAAAGATTCCTCATACTTCCAACTCAGGAAGATCTCTTTTCCACATCCCCAACATGGGAAATGCTCATACATCCTTAGTTCCAACAAGCTTATAAGTGTTAGCCTGTCCTCACACTGCCACCTTTACCCTTCTGTTGCAGACAGGCATTGTTCTCTGTGTTACCCAAGTGTAGAGAATACATTTCAAACTGAGTGATCCCATTGAAGCCTCCTCCCAAACTGAGCTTGAAGTGAAGGAGATAGAAACTCTCTTACTCCCCATCCACACATACATATACACATCCTCTTCACCTTCTCCTCTGTCTTTAACAGTCTCCCTAGGTCCATTTTCACCACCTTTTTACAGTCTTGATGTGAATGTGAGACCCCCTACATGAGGGGCTCATGAGGTGTTAAATTTGATATTTTCCATTTATTTTGTAAATTCTCTATATGGTAATCTAGCATCTTACTTTTAAATTTCAGATATAGTATAATAATTTTTACTGGTGTGATTCCCAAAACTTGAATTTTACTCCCTGTTTTTCCTTTTCTATGACTTACACCATCTCAATTATGTTATGCTAAGCTGTGGCACTGAGCTAAAGGTTACTTTTCCTCTAAGTATCTGCAATTGTTTCCTTATAAGTCCAGGGAAGCCGGCCAATAAATCTGGGCTGCTTCCCACAATTATTCACTTAAACCCAAGTAACTCTCTTCCACATCAGAGCTTAACGGGAGGAAGGGAATTAGACATACTGTTGACTGACTCTCCCTTCTCCTTCTTTCTGTCCACAATCTATCAGAATCAGAAAGGATGGCCTTCCTCTAGTCCTCTTCCCAAGGGGCTATGACTGCCTTCTCATTACACCCTCTCATTAAGTATGCCAGGCTTTGTGACCCAGGAACAAAGTCACATTGTTTCTGACAGGGATATTGCAATAAGCAGCAAACTTATTGAAGTAAATGTCTTCTATTACGTGCACTGACACTGTGATTGCTTGAAATTCTGCCCTTTTAAAACCATGAAGTTTTTCTTTTCCTTCTAATTGCTGTAATAAGAAATATGACCACTTCGATACTTAAGCCAAATCTGGTTTATTATCAGAACCACATGGGGAGGTTTTAAAATGCTGATTTCTGCATGCCCCTTTCCCCCACCCTCACCATCTGCCCCCAGATCATTGAATCAATGATGGGGCTGGAGATCTTGTTTCCTAACAACCATGATTTTAATGGTTAGCTATGTTTGGCAGCCATTATTCTTTACCATTCAAATTGAAAAGACTCTGCAGAGACTACAAGCTACAAATACAGAGAAATATGAAGTATAGGCAATAAGAATCTGGTACAAGACTGTTAATTTTAATTTCCTCTATATTTCTAGCAACTTCCAGAATATGAGGATTCATGGACATCTCTAAAGTTTTGCTACTAATCGATAGTCAATATAAACCTATTATTTAAGTCTTAATTTTAGGAAAATATATGCCCCTATTGCACAGCAGATCATTCAGAAATTTTATAGTAATAATTTAAATTGATTTTTTGGGAAAAATTTTTTTTGCCTTGTCTTCATCTATAAAAGGTCATAGAAAGCATTAATAGATTTTGATATCTTTTTTTTAATGCTAAACGAACAAAAGCCGAATAGCACTTTGACAAAAAAAAAAAGGTGTGATGCTCACACTACAAGAGAATTCAAAATCTGCTTGATGTCCAAAGGATATATAATATGTGAATGGAACACATCCAACATTTTAAATGTCTATATAGACATACTGTTCCTCACAACATAAGTTGGAAAGAAGAAAATGTTATTATCAAGAAGCTTTTGAGGATAAGAAAGAGTCCTTATTGTACCTATTCCCAAATACACTTCCTGATTTTATACAATGACACAAAAAGAGACTTAGGATAAAAATTTTAACAGAATTCTATCTTAAGAAGTCACACCTACTGATACTAGCCTTTGTAAAAATAAACTTGAATAGCTCAGATACTTTTCAAAAAATTCATAAATCCTATCCTAAAGATAAATTGCTCCTGCAAATAACATCAGGGGGCCCTTTGGTGTCTCTAAAACATACAGCCACTGCTTCTACCATGGCATATGGCTTCAAAAGTTAGAAGGCAAGTACAAAATATTTAGAGAAAAAAATAGAGAAAACAAACAGTTTCATGTTTATTCCTGGATTGGGGAAAAACCATTGCTATCTTTCCCAGAGTTAAATATATTATACCCTAAGGTCTTAAGAACGTACTTACGAAAAAATTAATTCTAATCCTATAACTATGTAGAATAGTGATTTCCAAATTTATGTAATAAACAAATCTTTTTAATTATCTAAAATAAAGGAGAAGTAATCTTAAGTTTTGTTTTAGATGTTCTCACTCTCCAAAATAACATCCCTAATCTCTTTTATGCCCATTTTTCTTGAATCAGTTTTTTTCTAAGACCAATTACATTAGTAAACACTTCCACTTTCCAACAGCCCAGAGCATTTGTAGCTGTATCTTCATTAGAGCCATTTCGCAGTTCACAAGCTAAGTTCTGAGGTATTTTATCAGAATTCATTAGATCCACAAGAGACTGACAGAATTTCTCATAAATGTCACCTAATGAGCTTAACACTATACCTCAGTAAATGCATATTTTAGTTAACCTATACTTTAAACAGCTTAATTAGAACTTAATTGCTGGAATTCTCTTCCCTAAAAACTAGTCCTTAATGGAATTCATACAGAGTAGCAGAGTTAAATGAAGTGATTCTGAAAAGTCATAGGGAATCATAGATACATTATTTAATTGAAGACTTATTAGAATTTCTTGACTATGACACTTTGTCTTTATATCTATTACCATAAAATAAAATAGTACTCACCTTAAATAGATACATAGATTTTTCAGATTATTAATTCATACTATTAAAAAGAGTTGTCTCCAAGTTGGCAATCTCTCTCTCAGGGGTACACAAGACAATCCATATGAGTTGAAAAGAAAATATTAAAATTTTTATTCATTTTATCTTCAAAAAAAGACAAGCTTTATCAATTTTCTAGCATTTAATATTCAGATGAACATTCACGTCCTTGCCCATCTGTGTATCACATGGTCACCATCACATACAGGAGATGAGGTGTACTGGGGGAAAAAGTTGCTCCACAATACGGAGGAGTTAAAAGTCATGCCTCACTCGTGCATTTCCTTTTAGTGTAGTAGATATATTGTACTTAAAATGTGACTGGCTATTCAGATTTATAGATAATTTTCTAGTTTTAGCTAAAGGACTCTCCTAAACTAGACAAGTAGTTTAAAAACACTCCTCCAAAGACCACATATTGAATATGATACTAATAATGTAAACATGAATTAACAATAAATGACAAAGCTGACAGTTCTCTTTACATAAAATTTTCCTTGTAAGATAAAAACGATAATAATTTGGTGGCCAAAAATAATTTTAATGTATCAAGAGGATTATTTAAAATAGGAATTTAACTGTTAAAATGGCCCTACTGCCCAAAGCAATCTATAGATTCAATGCAATACCTAGCAAAATACCAACGACTGTCTTCACTGAAATAGAAAAAAAAAATACTAACATTTGTATGGAATCACAAAAAACCCAAAGAGCTAAAACAAGACTGAGCAAAAAGAACAAAGCTGCAGGCATCACACTACCAGACTTTAAAATATACTACAAAGCTACAGTAACAAAAACAGCATGCTACTAGCATAAAAACAGGCACATAGACCAATGGAACAGAATAGAGAACCTAGACATTAATCCACACACCTACAGCCAACTAATTTTTTACAAAGGCAACAAGAACATTCATTGAGGAAAGGACAGTTACTTCAATAAATGATGCTAGGAAAACTGGACATTCCTATACAGAAGAATAACATTAGGCCTCCACCTCTTACCCTATACAAAAATCAACTCAAAATAGATTAAAGACCTAAATGTAAGATGGAAACTATAAAACTACAAGAAGAAAACACAGGAGAAACTCTTCAGTACATAGGTGTGGGGAAAGATTTTATGAATAAGACCCAAACACATAAGCAAAAGAAAAACCAAAAGTAAACAAATGGGATTATATCAAACCAAAAACTTTCTGCACTGCAAAGAAATCAACAGAGTGGAAAGATAACCTACAGAATGAGAAAATATTTGGAAACTATTCACTTTACAGGAGATTAATATCCAGAATATAAAGGAACTCAAACATCTCAACAGCCAAAAAACTACATGGAAACTGAACAACCCGCTCCTGAATGACTACTGGGTACATAACGAAATGAAGGCAGAAATAAAGATGTTCTTTGAAACCAATGAGAACAAAGACACAACATACCAGAATCTCTGGGACACATTCAAAGCAGGGTGTAGAGGGAAATTTATAACACTAAATGCCCACAAGAGAAAGCAGGAAAGATCCAAAATTGACACCCTAACATCACAATTAAAAGAACTAGAAAAGCAAGAGCAAACACATTCAAAAGCCAGCAGAAGGCAAGAAATAACTAAAATCAGAGCAGAACTGAGGGAAATAGAGACACAAAAAACCCTTCAAAAAATTAATGAATCCAGGAGCTGGTTTTTTGAAAGGATTAACAAAATTGATAGACTTCCAGCAAGACTAATAAAGAAAAAAAGAGAGAAGAATCAAATAGACGCAATAAAAAATGATAAAGGGGATATCACCACCGATCCCACAGAAATACAAACTACCATCAGAGATTACTACAAACACCTCTACACAAATAAACTAGAAAATCTAGAAGAAATGGATAAATTCCTGGACACATACACTCTCCCAAAACTAAACCAGGAAGAAGTTGAATCTCTGAATAGACCAATAACAGGAGCTGAAATTGTGGCAATAATCAATACCTTACCAACCAAAAAGAGTCCAGGACCAGATGGATTCACAGCCGAATTCTACCAGAGGTACAAGGAGGAGCTGGTAGCATTCCTTCTGAAACTATTCCAATCAATAGAAAAAGAAGGAATCCTCCCTAACTCATTTTATGAGGCCAGCATCATCCTGATACCAAAGCCGGGCAGAGACACAACCAAAAAAGAGAATTTTAGACCAATATCCTTAATGAACATTGATGCAAAAATCCTCAGTAAAATACTGGCAAAACGAATCCAGCAGCACATCAAAAAGCTTATCCACCATGATCAAGTGGGCTTCATCCCTGGGATGCAAGGCTGGTTCAATATATGAAAATCAATAAATGTAATCCAGCATAGAAACAGAACCAAAGACAAAAACCACATGATTATCTCAATAGATGCAGAAAAGGCCTTTGACAAAATTCAACAACCCTGCATGCTAAAAACTCTCAATAAATTAGGTATTGATGGGATGTATCTCAAAATAATAAGAGCTATCTATGACAAACCCACGGCCAATATCATATTGAATGGGCAAAAACTGGAAGCATTCCCTTTGAAAACTGGCACAAGACAGGGATGCCCTCTCTCACCACTCCTAGTCAACATAGTGTTGGAAGTTCTGGCCAGGGCAATTAGGCAGGAGAAGGAAATAAAGGGCATTCAATTAGGAAAAGAGGAAGTCAAATTGTCCCTGTTTGCAGACGACATGATTGTATATCTAGAAAACCCCACTGTCTCAGCCCAAAATCTCCTTAAGCTGATAAGCAACTTCAGCAAAGTCTCAGGATACAAAATCAATGTACAAAAATCACAAGCATTCTTATACACCAACAACAGACAGAGAGCCAAATCATGAGTGAACTCCCATTCACAATTGTTTCAAAGAGAATAAAATACCTAGGGATCCACCTTACAAGGGACGTTAAGGACCTCTTCAAGCAGAACTACAAACCACTGCTCAAGGAAATAAAAGAGGATACAAACAAATGGAAGAGCATTCCATGCTCATGGGTAGGAAGAATCAATATCGTGAAAATGGCAATAGTGCCCAAGGTAATTTATAGATTCAATGCCATCCCCATCAAGCTACCAATGCCTTTCTTCACAGAATTGGAAAAAACTACTTTAAAGTTCATATGGAACCAAAAAAGAGCCCACATCGCCAAGTCAATCCTAAGCCAAAAGAACAAAGCTGGAGGCATCACGTTACCTGAATTCAAACTATACTACAAGGCTACAGTAACCAAAACAGCATGGTACTGGTACCAAAACAGAGATATAGATCAATGGAACAGAACAGAGCCCTCAGAAATAACGCCGCATATCTACAACTATCTGATCTTTGACAAATCTGACAAAAACAAGCAATGGGGAAAGGATTCCCTATTTCATAAATGGTGCTGGGAAAACTGGCTAGCCATATGTAAAAAGCTGAAACTGGATCCCTTCCTTACACCTTATACAAAAATCAATTTAAGATGGATTAAAGACTTAAATGTTAGACCTAAAACCATAAAAACCCTAGAAGAAAACCTAGGCATTACCATTCAGGACATAGGCACGGGCAAGGACTTCATGTCTAAAACATCAAAAGCAATGACAACAAAAGCCAAAATTGACAAATGGGATCTAATTAAACTAAAGAGCTTCTGCACAGCAAAAGAAACTACCATCAGAGTGAACAGGCAAACCAAAAATGGGAGAAAATTTTTGCAACCTACTCATCTGACAAAGGGCTAATGTCAAGAATCTACAATGAACTCAAACAAATTTACAAAAAAAAAACAAACAACCCCATCAAAAAGTGGGTGAAGGACATGAACAGACACTTCTCAAAAGAAGACATTTATGCAGCCAAAAAACACATGAAAAAATGCTCACCATCACTGGCCATCAGAGAAATGCAAATCAAAACCACAATGAGATATCATCTCACACCAGTTAGAATGGCAATCATTAAAAAGTCAGGAAACAACAGGTGCTGGAGAGGATGTGGAGAAATAGGAACACTTTTACACTGTTGGTGGGACTGTAAACTAGTTCAACCATTGTGGAAGTCAGTGTGGCGATTCCTCAGGGATCTAGAACTAGAAATACCATTTGACCCAGCCATCCCATTACTGGGTATATACCCAAAGGACTATAAATCATGCTGCTATAAAGACACATGCACATGTATGTTTATTGCGGCACTATTTACAATAGCAAAGACTTGGAACCAACCCAAATGTCCAACAGTGATAGACTGGATTAAGAAAATGTGGCACATATACACCATGGAATACTATGCAGCCATAAGAATGATGAGTTCTTGTCCTTTGTAGGGACATGGATGAAATTGGAAATCATCATTCTCAGTAAACTATCGCAAGAACAAAAAACCAAACACCACATATTCTCACTCATAGGTGGGAATTGAACAATGAGAACACATGGACACAGGCAGGGGAACATCACACTCTGGGGACTGTTGTGGGGTTGGGGGAGGGGAGAGGGGTAGCATTGGGAGATATACCTAATGCTAAGTGACGAGTTAGTGGGTGCAGCGCACCAGCATGGCACATGTATACATATGTAACTAACCTGCACATTGTGCACATGTACCCTAAAACTTAAAGTATAATAATAAAAAAAAGAAGAAAAAAAAGAAAAACATGGGCAAATGATCTGAACAAACATTTTTCAAAAGAAGACATACAAATAGCCAACATGTATATGAGAAAACATTTAACATCACTAATCATCAGGGAAATGCAAATCAAAACCACAATGAGATATCATCTCACCTCAGAATGACTATTATCAAAAAGACAAAAAATAACAAATGCTGGGAAGGATGTGGAGAAAAGAAAATGCTTGTACACTGTTGGTGGGAATGTAAACAAATACAGAGAACAGTATGGAGGTTCCTCAGAAAACTACAATCCCATTACTGGGTACTAATCCAAAGGAAAGGAAATTAGTATTTCAAAGAGACATCTACATCCCCATGTTTATTGCAGCACTATTCACAATAGCCAAGATAGGAATCAACCCAAGTGTCCAACAACAGATGAACAGGTAAAGAATATGTGAGGCCAGGCACATTGGCTCATACTTGTAATCTCAGCACTTCTGGAAGCCAAGGTGGGCAGATCACTTGAGGTCAGGAGTTTGAGACCAGCCTGACTAACATGGTAAAACCCTGTCTCTACCAAAAAATACAAAAATTAGCGGGACATAGTGGTGTGTGCCTGTAGTCCTTGCTACTCAGGAGAGGCTGAGGTGGGAGAATTGCAACCTGGGAGGCAGAGGTTGCAGTGAGCCAAGATTGCACCACTGCACTCCAGGCTGGGTGATAGAGTGAGACTTTGTCTCAAAAAAAATAAAAAAAAAAAAGAAAATGTGGCATATATACCCAGTGGAATATTATGCAGCCATCAAAAAGAATAAAACTCTGTCATTGGCAGTAACACGGATGGAACTAGAAAACATTATATTAAGTAAAATAAGTCAAGCAAAGAAAGACAAATATTGCATTGTTCTAACTCACATGCGGAAATTTAAAAAGTGAATCTCATGAAGATAGTGAAAGATTGGTGGTTATCGAAGGCCAGGAGGGGTAGGGACAGGAAACTATTTAAAAAGGTTGATTAAGGAGTACAAATATATAGTTAGATAGAAGAAATAATGCCTAGTGTTCAGTGGAACAGTAGAGTGAATATAGTTAAGAATAATCTATGGAATATTTCAAAATAGAAGAGAATAATTTGAATGTTCCTAGCATAAAGCAAAGATAAATATTTCATTTAAATATCAAAAAATTGGATATCCCAGTCTCCATGATTTGATCTTTACAAATTATATGAATGTATAAAATTATCACATGTACTCAGAAAATATGTACATCTATTATATATCAATAAAAAACATATAAAACATTAAAAAAGTTGAAGTCATAGAAGTAAAAGTAGAATAGAGCATACTAGAGGCTGAGAAGGGTGTGGGGAATAGGGAGAGACTTTTTAAAGATACAAAAGTACAGCTAGAAAGGAGGAATAAGTTCTAGTGTTCTATAGCACTGTAGGATGACTATAGTTAATAATTTATACTTTCAAACAGCTAGAAGAAAGATACTGAATATTTCCAACACAAAAAAGTGGAAAACGTTCGAGAGGATGGATATGCTAATTATTCCGATATGATTACTATACATTGTATGTATTGAAACATCACTATGTACCCCATAAATATGTATAATTATTATGTGTCAATTACAAACCATTTTTAAAGGAAAAAATAAAATATGAATTTACATTTACTATGGTTAACAATTACCTTTGTCTTAAGTGTTTGTCATGCCATAAGCTATTAACAAATGATATTATCAAGATATTTGAAACAAGGCCAGGTGCACTGGCTCATGCCTGTAATCCCAGTGCTTTGAGGCCAAAGCAGGAGGATCACTTGAGGCCTGGAGTTCAAGGCTGTAGTGAGCTATGATTGTGCCACTGCACTCCAGCTTGGGTAACAGAGGTAGACTCCATCCCTTAAAAAAAAAATACACACACACACATATACATGGGCAAGATATTTAAAATACATTTTTAAGCTTATTTTTAAATTATTGTACATATTTTAATGTACATATATTAGCATAATGGTAAGTATATTTAATGTATAAATACATATATATATAAAAAGATATTTGGGGAGTGCATGCTCAAAGTATTTTACCAACACATGAGTGAATACAATAGTTTACAGATCATTAACCTAACAAGTGGCAGAAAGAAGAGATATGGTAGAAAACATCAAGTAACCCACAAATAAAGTATATATACCATTGGGATGTGTTTTCTTGTTTTCATAATTATTCTGAATACAAGGGTGGTTTATGCTTTGGGAGTATACACAAAGCAAAAATTAATAACAAAATCCCATATTGAAGATTTGATTTAGAGAAAACTTAAAAGTTCTCAAATACCCTTTTTATCTTTCCTTCTTTAACACATTTCTTCATTGTTCAGTTCAGACTGAATTAGGAATTGCTCCTGAGAGCTAGAAAAAAACAGCAATTTGAGTTGTAATACAATGAAGTTCTTCTATCTGTTTCTGGTTTAAGGGAAGCCAGGGCTATTTATTCCAAATTAAAATATGCCCTGAGAAACCAGGGACATAACGGAAGGAAAATATCTCGGCACTAATTTTACTAGCCATGCTTGAAATCACAGCTCTGCCCACAGTGCCTGGGGTGAGGTGAAAGAGTTTTCACTAACATTAGCACCTCAAAGGAAGATTCAACTGATAGTTGCCACCACCTGTGAGCAGAAAAGAGCGAACTTTCCTCATAAGTTAAAGATGTAACTAAAAGACCAAACACTGTAACTCTACTGTGAACAAAAACTCCTTGAGATTATCATGAAATTCAAAACCAAGACACCTGTGAGCCACCAACCACCTGATTGAATATCTCATTCTTTTACAGAAGTTTAAATATTCTGTGAGCTGACATTTTCACTTTCTTATGAGTTTTCCCTAAGGGTAAATCTTTAGTGGAAATAATCTGATGGAAGATTCCTACTTCAAGAGTGGCAAAAAGCTTCAGAGAACTTCCCTAGCATGTGAAAGCTATCTTTTCTTGTCTTCTATAATTTTAGAAGGTATTTTAAAAATGTTCCTGGGATCAGACTTTATGTGCAACATGTCATGAGAGAGTGAATATTGATGATCAAACTCCTCTTCTAAAATGTATCATAAAATCAGGTTTATAGTAAATGTTCTTCAGACCATTAGCTACCATAATTCTCCAGTCCTTTTCTTAGCTGTTTTATTAATAGTGTACAATCTTCATTACTACTAACTGTTACTTGTTAAAAACAGACTCATCTACCATAAGCCACATCTTCTCCCACTCCCTGTTTTACAAGACACCCATAAATACCCTTAAAACCCATCTGTTCTGTCTGGGATGCTCAAGGGTCCTCCCTCCCACAACGAAAAAAAAGGAGCTCAATGGCCTCTTCTGGACTTTTCCATTACTAGAGCTTAGTATGCCTTAAGACATAGCCTGGAATTATAATTAATTTGGTTAAATTTTTAAAATTAATCCCCTGGTAATTTGCTGTGCAGAAGGAAATTCACATTCACAAAGAACAGAGAAAGCGGAAGAAAACTCCAGAAAAAAGGAAGTCTTTTCCCTCCTTCATGATTACTTTTGAAGTCAATGTCATCTCATAAAATCCACTTAGTAAAACTGACAGAAATAAGTATGTTTTGCCTTGAGGCTCTGTCTTGTGCTATCAGGAGTAAATGGGGGTACTTTCTAAAGGTCTCTGACAATCTCATAGGAAATTTTTCTGCTTCCTCTCTGAAGCCCAGTGGGAAAGGCTCATGGAAGTTCAGCTGAACCATATTGCTTATATGATGAGGATGGACAGCAGGAGGAGAGTGAAGCCATTCTGCAGAGTGGATGTCAAATAATCAAAGAGAAGACAGCAGGAACTCTAAGGACGCAGGGGACACCATCTAAGGCAAAGTGACATTGATATCAACATCTAGGAAATGATAGAGGCAGATAAATAGCTCAGGCAAGAAAAAAGAGATGGGATGACCCAGTTTAAGCAAAAAGTAATTTGCTAATCACAAAGCAAAGAAATAATACAGTAGGCTCCTCTCTCCACTCACACACAGCAGGTATAGCCATTATCCAGATAGAGCAGTAGACAGAAAAGGAGATCAACTGCAATATGACTGGTACTCAAACCACAGACGGCTGCTTCCGAACAAGAGCTCACCCCAAAGAAAAATTGGCAGGCAGTGCCACCTGCAGAGGAAAGATATATCTTCTGCAGGCACTAGCTCTCCAAAGCTGACAGGCTGAAATATTCTGCTGAATAAATCGAAAAACTTTCAAGTGGTCTAAAAAAGGTAGTCTGAAGTAGACTGCACTGCAGGGATCCAATCAAGTTAAGAATGTCAGGAGCCTGTGGCAACATCCACACCAGGAAAAAAGACTCATAACCTCTCGAGTTAAGTGCAAATGAGAAAATAGCATGGTGGGTTTCGTATCTTTGCGTATGGTGTGTGTGTGTGTGTTTGTGTGTGTGTGTGTGTGTGTGTGTGTGTATGTGCACACGCCCGCGCGCGTGTGTGTGGCTGTATGTTGTGATTTTTGAAAGGACACAAAACTGCAAAACTGTTCTTTCCATATAAGGAATAAATCAGGCATGAGAAGTATTTTTTCCTGGAACAGAAAACAAGTGTGTTATTTTCTCCTAGAATTTTTAGGCTTTTTGACTCCCCATGGAACTGACTTTCCCTTCCCCCAGGCTCTGCTCAAGCCCTGCCTCCTCCACAAATCTTTTCCAATGGATACAGCCCTAATTGTTCATAGCTCTCTCTCTACTAGTAACTTACTTGTTGCTTGAACCATTCAATGTGGAACTTAATTGCATACTATCTTACTTTCTTCTAATTGCTTAATATGTGTAAATTTAACCTCCCAAACAAGACTACAAGATCCCTGAGAGCAAGGATTATGTCCAACATGTATATCCTGTTCCCCTCAGCTAGGCTGAGTATATATATATATATATAATTTATTTCTTGTCATCTTATCTGAGGAGGGTGGGAAAGGCCTCCTGGTGCACAAAGGTCCCTCTACCCTGTGTTTATTTTCTTTAAACCAAAGAATTCACTCATTTAGATTAAGAAATTAGCCCAATTATAGTACTAACAATCCCTGGGATGATTTCTCCACTTAGCTATTCTGTAGTGATATGCAAAATAATAGTTTGGGACTTCAAGGCCTGGATTTGATTCTCAACTCCATCACTTCCTAATGACATGATCTTGACAAGTTATTAACATCTCCATAAAATTTGCTTATCTATAAAATGAGGAAATAACATTCTACTCATGGTTATGTGACAACTGAAAAAAAAATGCCTGTAAAATTTAGCCCATAGTAAGCACTTAGTAAATGCTAGCTTTTTAAAACAATAATAATAAATAGTAACAATAAGTACTGAGATATACACTGAAAAGTGTGAGATTCAACCCTACTTGCAAGCTGACAAGGGAGCCTGTCACAGTTTCAGGGATGCTGGGAAAAGTCACTAGACTATTAAGTCAGACAATGGGCTTTGTTAGAGAAGAGCCAGTAGCATGAACACAGTTCCATTCATCCCCCAAAGTCCCACAAGGGTTGGGTCACAGTTAAGGCACTCTGAGCCTAGGACACTCAAATCTTATATAATGGGCTGCAAGCAAACTTGCCCAACATTTGTTCTGAAGGTGAACATTATCCTTATTATACTAGTTAGTAATCATGCATGCTCTCTGCTTCAGAGGAAGACACTATAACTTCTAGGGCTATTTACTATATAAACATCCTTAAAAAAAATAGTCCAGAACAAAGACTATCAGTCTCTGTTCTCAATATGTGCAGGAAACAAGCAATCCAGAGAATTGCCTTCCAACAAAACTTAGCTCCTGCTAGCAAGGACCTTACAATCTGCAGGAAAAGATAGACAAGTAAATTTTAAAACTGAGAGATAGGGAAATAGTGCTATTTTAAAAATCATTAATATAATAAATGCAAAAATCTTAAAATACCATATAACTATAAGATAGTGAAGCCATATATTTACTAACATGAAAATTGTTTATGATATATTGTTTGTTGCAGAAAGTGGTCTAAAAAGTAAGTATAGTATACTCCCATTCATATGTACAGGTAAATCAGATAAATCATTGACATGGGATATTGCAAGTAATCAATAGATAATTTCATTTATATAAAATATTAAACTTATAATATGTAATATTTATAAATACTGTCCTGGAATGATATAAAGTCCAACAGGCTGTGCACTTAAGAACTGCGCACAAAAAGTTATCTTAAAAAGACAGGGAATCCAGGCAGGCTTCTTAGAGAAAGCAGTTATTAAGTGAAATTTCAATGAATTGTAAAAAGTGGGAAGAGAATTTAAAGCAGAAGACAGTTGTGAACACACTGAACTTGGAATAGCATGATGGATTCATAAAATAGTATAAAACTATCCATAAAACTGCATGTTGTCTGGAGTAACCAGGATAAAAGATAAATACAAAAAAATAGTAGAAAGTAGGGCTAAAGAGGTAGACACGGGTTAGATAAAAGTAGCAGCCAATAATGTATTCTAAAAGGTGAGGAGGTGGTAGAAGGCATCTACCTCAGAGTACATCTACAGCAGGCTCCACTCTAAGAGCCAAATTCATTGCTGTGTACATGCAGCTGCTTGATGAAAAGGGATTGGACTTAGAGCCTCTCCCGCACCCTCCATCCCTGAACTACATTCATCCAATAGGTACAGGATGCCTCCACTAGGATTACCCCTGGCACAACAGACTTGTCATGTCCAAAATGATATACATTACCTCCTCCGTCACCCAAATCAAAACCCAAAAGGGTCTTTCTAGAGTTCTTCCTAGAACTCCACTACTAGCTCTTCCTATCAGTGGAAGAATTTTTCTCACCACTTATCCCCTCCCCACCCCTCACCCCACACACAGGCCAGTCAGACACATTTTCTTTCCTCCATATCCAGCACCACTGCCTTAGCTCAGTCTCTCACCATGACTCTCTGGATGCTTGCAGTAGCCTCCCCCCAGGTCTCTTAGCCTCCCTTCCCAAGCCCTCTAGTCTATATTCCACACTGCCACCGGAGTGGAAGTGTTAATTTGCTTGTTTCTCTCTTAAAAATCCTGTAATGGTTCACCAATATCTACAGGGTAAAGTCTGTATTCTTTATCATGTCACACAAGCTTATTCATAATCTGGCCCTTCCTACCTTTCTAGCCTTGCCCTGACTGCCACCCTTAAGCACTCCACAGTCATGACATTTGAAACTATAGAGGTTCCTCAGAATACACCATGTTCTTCTGATCCTTTTTATCTTCTCACAGGCACAGCCTCTGTCCAGAAAGTCCTCTTTCCTTATGATACCCCCAGTTCTTTCCTTGGCCATCTAAGAAACGATTCACTTTTCAAGGCCTAGTTGAAGCATCAACCCTTTAGGGATCCTCTCCTGATCAGTTAAGTGCTTCTTCCTGTGCAAGCATCTAGTGTCATAAGCAGCTAATAACTGATACATTACAAATATAGCAACTGAAACACTGCTTTAATTATATTTATATGTCTCTTTGATATAAATCTTTATTAGATTGTGAAACCCTTAAAGGTAGGGTAAGATCTTATTCTTTGCATTTTTATTGCTCACCACATAATGAAGACTTTATAAATGTTGGATAAATAATTGGCTAGATATATGGATGAATGGATGGTTTCTAGTTATTTGTCTATATTAACACAACTCAAGTTGCTAAAAGAAATTTTACAATAGAAGAGGCTTTCAAAATGGAAATATACTTTCTTAGTTCTAGCGCCTCAGTGGCTTAATCTCTTATTTTTAAATACATACACACATGCACACACACACACACACAGAGTAAGTTGTCTTAAAGGGAAGGTCTTGTTAGACAATATGCTTAGCATTCACCAAAGACACTAATCCTAATAAAGATTTAAAGAATATTTAGCTAACAACAATTCCATTTATCAAGTGCTTACAATGAGCCTTATGTATCTGATCTTATACATAACAGCACCCTGTGAATTTGATACTACTCCCATTTTACAGATGAGGGAACTGCCTCTTAGAGCATATGAACGACACATAGCTAAGGAAAGGACAAACTGGAATCTAAAACCATGAATCCCTGAAACAAAGTCAATGCCTTGATCCACTGATAGAATTAAATTATCAAAATTTCCATTGTGCCAAACAGATAAGATGTGACCTTCTCTTTAATAATTATGTAAACAGTTTCAGTATTTTCTTGGATGTGTTAAAGATAGGATTTAACCAAGAGCTCTGCTATGAATACAGCAGGAAGCAATAGCCAAAGTGGTCAATATTAAAATTCATTTTCATACCACACACAGTTTATACTGCCCCATTTATAGTTTTTTTTAAAAAAGATGAGTTTGCCAACAATAATCTGTAATATTTCTGCAGTGAATATGAATAAGACAGCAATGTTTCTATTGTAGGCCATGTTTTCTTAAGTGTTTTCAAACAATCCAAAAACATTTCTACTAGGTTAGAGAACAGAATTGTCAGTTAATATTGTCATAACAGTTTTTCACTTTTAAGAAATGATTTTTTTTCTGTTTCCCTATCATAAGAAGGAAGCATACAAAAAAGTGGAGCTTAGCTACACTGTGGAGAATCTTTTATACAGAATTTGGTTTGCTCAGTTTTGTCTCACATAACTGCTTAGAATATTGAAAATTATTCAAAACTCAAACTAAGAAGAAACATCTACACTTTACCTTTAAGGACGCTGTGATAGGCAGTCCCAGGAGGGCCCCCAGTGCTCCTTGCCTCCTGGTATGTATAATTCCTTCCCAATCCTCAGGGTTGATCTGTGTGACCAAAGTAATACAGAAGTTATAATATGCAACTTCAAAGGCTAGGTCATAAAACACATTTTGGTTCCTTTCTCTTTTTCCTTCTCTTAACTCACTCACTCTGGGAGAAGCTAGCTGCCATGGCATGAGGCTAGCTGCCTCTCAAGCAGCCCTACGGAGAGAGCAACATTTAAGGGACTGAGGCTTCCTCCCAACAGCCAGTGAGGCACTAAGACCTCCAGCCAACAGCCATGCAAGCGAGCCACCATGTAATTGATCCTCTAGCCCAGTCAACATCTCAATAACTACAGCCCTTCTGGATACCTTGACTGCAATCACACAAGACGCTAAACCAAAGTCACCCAGCTTAGATACTCCCAAAACCTGACTCTTGAAAACTGTGTAAGAAAATAAAGATATTTTTTGTTTTAAGCTGCCACATTTGGTGAAAGTTTGTCCAACAGCAATACATGCATAATAAAGACACTATTCAGAAGTCCCATACAACACTTCTGCTTGAATCCTACTGCTCAAAGATGTAGCATCCCAGCCATAATTTGATAAATGTTATTAATAGAATAGGAAAAGTAGTCTTTATTCTAGGTGGCCATGCATCCTGTTAAAAATAAGGACTTTTATTACCAAGGAAAACGGGAAGAGGACAAGAGATATTAAGAGAGAAGTAGCAGCCTGTGGGAGATACAGTGATAGCCCCCAACTAACCACACCTCCCAATATTCACACCCAGTTAAAATTCCCTCCCATGTGGGCTTGGCCATATATTTGCCTTGATCAATGGAATATTTGCAAACATGATACAAGCAGAGGCTTATACATCAGCTCACTCCCTCTTAAGAGGCTTACTGCCAACTGCAAGGAGGTACTAGCTATCCTGCTAAAGAAAGAGGCCATGTGACAAACCAAGGTGTCCCAACCAAGCTCTCAGATGAATACGGCTGCATTCATCATAAAGGGCATTTTGATTCTGTCAGACAATAGGGTATCTGATATCCTTGATTTCAATCAGATAAAGCTATTGACATCTAATTGAATCATACAATTAATGATTCTTACAATAAAAAGACTGAATTTTACAGATTATGGAAATTATCATTCTTACACCATGGCTAACTAATGCTTGGACTTCCTCTAAAACATCATTTCTTAAACTGTAGTTTGAGGTCCATTGATTGATTTCAGGGGCCACATGAAAAAGACGCCTAACTATTTTGTCTTTAATTTTTTCTGAATAGTTTAAAACATAACTTTGTAATAAGTATTTCATTTACAAGACATTAAGTTAAAGTATTGTTAACTCTAGATAACTTAGAATATCAGTACACTATTTGTACTATACATGGTCAGTTCATACACAATCCATCACTGTTTCCATGCTAAGATAGCTAGACTAATTTTTATTTTAAAATAACTAAAGAGGGCCGGGCACGGTGGCTCACGCCTGTAATCCCAGCACTTTGGGATGCCGAGGTGGGCAGATCACGAGGTCAGAAGATCGAGACCATCCTGGCTAACACGGTGAAACCCCGTCTCTACTAAAAAAATACAAAAAATTAGGCGTGGTGGCAGGTGCCTGTAGTCCCAGCTTCTCAGGAGGCTGAGGCAGGAGAATGGCGTGAACCCGGGAGGTGGAGTTTGCAGTGAGCCGAGATGCGTCACTGCACTCCAGCCTGGGCGACAAAGCGAGACTCTGTCTCAAATAAACAAATAAATAAATAAATAAATAAATAAATAAATAGAACCTAAACTATCACTATATTTATGGACAGATGATTTTTACAAATTTATGTTACAGACCCTAGCTGTAAATTGCTGGAAAAATAAAGTATAAAATTTCCATACTCTTAGATTTTACTTACCTAGTTCAACATAAATTGAAAGAAAGTCTCAGTTGTTTTGGTGTTAAGAGCCTTTTTTTCTAATAAAAATATGGGGCCAACAAAATTCAAAGGAGCACCTAATGTATGTCCGTAATACATTAAAAAATGTGAATCTTTGTGAAAAGAAGGCTGGATTTTACTAAATCTTGGATTCGCCCCAGTGCAAAAATCTTGTCTTGAAGTATTTGAAAAGAAGCCCACATGACTGAAAAGCTCTCTTTGAAATCATGTATTCTGTTTTGTTCTGTGGAGCAGAAAAATGTAAATGAAACAGTGTCCTTGTCAAATAATGTCCCTGACTCCATGAAGCAGGTCATGAATTATAGGCAGCTATGCTGTTTGCCTACACCTGAATGAAACCATCCAGAGCTTTTAGTGCAGAAAAATCCTTGGTTCCTTACATAATACACACTGATTTGATAAGATTCTTTTGGATATTGTAAAGGCTATATTCAAAACAGCAAAATAGTTTTTTGCCAAGAAAATATCTGACTGGAAAAAAATCATGATAATCTTTCAGAGGCTGAGCCATAATTCTAATTTTCCTCCTTTGTTAAAGAAAGCAGCTTCACACATTACTGGGGTTTGTTTCTTCCAATAGCATCACACCCTAGTATCAAAGACTGCTAATATCCCTAAAAAAATCCTCATATCGATCTCACTGAAAATCTTTAATATGAACAAATACAAGGCTTCTACTACACAGAAGTTCATTGATATTTAAGAGGATATAGTGTAAAGAGGCAACAGAACTGGATTTCTATCCCAAATTGCTCATTTACTAGTTGGGCAATCTTGAACAACTTCTGTAACTCCTCTGAGTCTAGAGTTTTCCCATCTGTAAAGTGATAATTGCATCTACCTAAAAATGCATGTTAACAATCAAATATGATAATATACAAATGGATCTAGCAATGTCTGGTATTCAGTAAATGTTGGGTTGCTTTAAACTGAATAAGCATCTCAAAACCTTTCTTATTCATTCTTCTAAGGCTCCAACTCTAAATTTTCCCAGTGGGCAAAGAGCTTTTTTCCTGAGGCCTCATTTCTAGTATCTATGGTGCTTCCAAGACTAGCAAAACAAAGTTTCTCCTAGAACCGCCTGACAAGACGACCACTTTTCTCAAGATCAGCCTATGGCTTCCGGGGAAAAACTACCAGTTACCTCTCTCCCTACCCAGAACAGAGCACTATTTCCACTCACAGCCCAGTCTATGCTCTTAACTGCTCCCTCACAGTATTTAAGAAAGCCTATTCACTTAACAAGGCAAAGTTTTTCTCTGAGTTATGAACAGTTCTCCTCTAATGAGCAGAGCTACTCCAACTCTACATCTGTCATTCTAATTTTTATTCAGTTAGCATCTGACATCTACTAATCTAATCATCCTTTATGCATATGGATATTGGGTTATTATTACATGTAAGAAATGCAATACTCATTTGAATGCTTACTTTAATAAGTGATTAAGGTAATTCATTACACCATCTGCAGATTTTACAACACACTATTTGACTATTGAGTAATTCTGTTGTTTTTAACTAGCATTCATTGAGTGTTTTATACTTTACCAAACACTTTCTAATATTGATTTGATCTTCACAAAAATCCTATGTGGTAGGTAAGCCAGATATTATTAGTCTCACTTTTTTTAGATGAGGGACAGAAAGTTTAAGTCAACTGGCTAAAGCCATGTGGCAATTCCACTGACAAACTAAATCCTACGTCTTTTGGCTTAAAACCTGTAACTTTTCCACTGTAATATGCTGTCTTCCAGTGTCACTGAGTACTATCTTTTATCTAATTGGCAATAAAAATAGTCACAACAAAAGGAAGCCTCTGAAGTCAGCATCACGGTAAGTGTATCAAACCAAATGATTCAGCCAGGTGTGGCAGCTCACATCTGTAATCCCAGCACTTTGGGAAGCCAAGGTGGGAGGATTGCTTGAGACCAGGAGTTTGAGATCAACCTGGGCAACACAGTGAGACCCTGTCTCTACAAAACATAAAAATGAAGAAAATAGCTGGGTGTGGTGGTGCACACCTGTGATCCCAGCTACTCCAAAGACAGAAGTGGGAGGATAGCTTGAGCCTGGAAGGTCAAGGTTGCAGTGAGCTATGATTGTGTCACTGCATTTAGCCTGGGAATCAGAGTGAGACTGTTTCAAAAAAAAAAAAAGTGATTAAAGAAAGCAAACCTGTACCAAGAAATACTTTCTTTCATTTGTATTTAAAATGGTACATCCTTTATAAAAGTAAAAATGTAAAAAAAATGTTTTTTAGGTTATAAAAACTATACATGGTAATTATAGGAAATATAAATAAGAAAACAAAAATCACCTAGATGTTATTTTGAGTATATTGGATACTTATTGACTATCTTGAATATGCAAAAGATGTGAGGTGATTTATCTTTTTAAACCACCCGGGTGGCTGCTCTGTGGAGAATGGTGAAGAGTCTGAGAGGCAGAGAGAACCAGTTAGGGGGCTACTGCAGATCCAGGAGAGACATGAGGGAGGCTTGGACCAGATAGGAGCACTGTGGGTGCTAAAATATGACATATCTAGAACTGGAGCATTGTTTGAAGGTACAGCTGATGAAGCATCTATGGAATGTGAGCAAAAGAAAGAAGCCAAGAATAATTTAGGATTTTGACCTGAGAAAAGGTTGGACAATGGGTATCATTTGGCCCAACAGAAAAGAGAGAGTAGCAGATTTTTCAGAAAGAAGTTGAGAATTGTTTTGAATGTGTTAAGGTGGTGTATTAGTCTATTTTCACGTTGCCGATAAAGACATACCCGAGACTGGGCAATTTACAAAAGAAAAACGTTTACTTGGACTTACAGTTCTACGTGGCTGGGGAAGCCTCACAATCATGGAGGAGGGTAAGGAAAAGCAAATCCCAACTTACGTGGATGGCAGCTGGCAAAGAGAGAATGAGGAAGACGGAAAAGCGGAAACCACTGATAAAACCATCAGATCTCGCGAGATTTATTTACTACCACGAGAACAGTATAGTGGAATCCGCTCCCATGATTCAGTTATCTCCCACCAGGTTTCTCCCTCAACACGTGAGAATTAAGGAAGTACAATTCCAGATGCGATCTGCGTGGGGACACACAGCCAAACCATATCAGGTAGCTATTCATGTGGACTGTCCAGTGGCCAGTTAGATGGATAAGCCAAGAAGGCAGAGGAGGGTTGGGGCACAAGATAGAAATGTAGACGTATCATTATTATATCACTCTGTCTCACTGCACTGATGCAGCTTGAAATTTGTCTCAAACAGTGCATGTGTGATCCAAATAGCTGAACAATCAACATAGTTATTCAGTCACTTAGAAGGTCAGTTTAAATCAACTCAACTAATGTAGCCTGTGTGGCTGAAAGTATCAAATTGATAATGCTACACTTGACCAAGCTTGGCAAAACTCATATGAATCCATTTGCCTCCCTAATAACAATTTTTCCATTGATTATTGTAGGAAATCTTTCTTGACATTACTTGCTCCCACATGCTTTTTTGGGTTTTGTTTTGTTCTCTTTTGTTTTTGATAATTGAGTACATCCCCATATCTTTGTATTTATGAGGCAGAGATAGTTGTTTAGACACATAAAACAATTATGTTCTATTTTTATTTTTAAATTATTCATTTGAAATAGCAATTGCATAATCATTAGCTGTCTGGTTTGATAAATTAAAATAATTTCTGAAGAACTAAGTACTTTTATCCTCTTAAGTCTGCAGCAGTGATGGCTAAATCAAACAACCTGGAGAAAGGGTGTCCTCTTACGTTGACTGGTAGATCGCCAAGACACCTTTTTTTTTCTTTTTTTTTTTTTTCTTTTGAGACGGAGTCTCACTCTGTCGCCAGGGTCACCAGGCTGGAGTGCAGGGATGCAATATCGGCTCACTGCAACCTCCGCCTCCCAGGTTCCAGCGATTCTCCTGCCTCAGCCTCCCAAGCAGCTGGGACTACAGGCACGCCCGCCACCACGCCCAGCTAATATTTTGTATTTTTTTTTTTTTTTTTTTTGAGATGGAGTCTCGCTCTGTTGCCCAGGCTGGAGTGGAGCGGCGCTATCTCGACTCACTGCAAGCTCCGCCTCCGGGTTCCGCCATTCTCCTGGCTCAGCCTTCAGAGTAGCTGGGATTACAGGCGCCTGCCACCATGCCCGGCTAATTTTTTTTGTATTTTTAGTAGAGACGGGGTTTAGTAGAGACCATCCTGTTAGCCAGGATGGTCTCAATCTCCTGACCTCGTGATCCGCCCACCTCTGCCTCCCAAAGTGCTGGGGTTACAGGCATGAGCTACTGTGCCCGGCCCAGGACACCTTCTGATTGTAATTTAGCTTCCTATCTCATGCCTCAAAAGAATACACTGGCCTGCAGGAGAGTTATAATCGTCACTGAAAATTATTACACTGATCTTCTGAAATATAATAAATAAATAAATAACCAGACTTTTCACATGAGAAGCCAACATGCAAAAGAGATATAATAAGATTTGGAAGAAACATAATGAAAAGAAAAAACTGAGAGAAGATAGACTCAAATGTGTAGCTTCCACATCACCAATTAGAAATAAGGACACAGATTCAACAACAGATAGTGATAGTGGAGAAGAACAGCAAGGGTGCCTAACAGAAGATGAAGAGAAAATCAAATCACTTTTAAGTCTAAATGGACACCTTCCCCCACAGACACCTGCACTAAGGTAATGTCTTTGAAGAAGCGATGCACTGCCATTGTGGGTTAATAGCTACCTCCCTATGCCTTGTTGGGTTTTGACAGTATCAGGGTATCAGAAAAAGGGAAAAACAAATGTCATAGTAAAGTAGTAAAAGAGGCTCAGAGAGAAGTTGCTATACACAACACAGATTAGTGACAAGCTAGGCTATTAACGATCCAATATTGGACCCATGACAATTTTTTGTGATATGTAGTATATGGTAGGTACTTTACGGTAGGTAGCTAAGTGCTTTACAAACATTTCCTCATTCCTCCTCAGTCTTATGAGATAAGTACCACCACCCTTTTAGGTTAATATTCTAAATGGTGTAGAAAAAGAGCACACAACAGAGCTACTTTTAGGTACTAATCATAGGCAAAACCAACTTGAACAAACATGAAGGGAAAAGAAAGTACATTTGATTCATACAAGGAACCTGTGTTCACACAGGGTGATGGTGCAGCTGTTTCAGGGCAACTGGAAATAGGACTGGGAAGTTGGAGAACTCTGCCACTTCTCTCTGCTCTTCTCACTACGTGGGCTCCGCTCCCTCTTTCTTCAAAGTGGCTTTCTCCTCATGGTGGGAAACAGAGCTGCCAGCAGCTGCTAGCTCACGTGTCCCAACTTCACCACCTGAGAGAGATACTCTCTTCCTAAACATGGACCACTTCACTGGCCAGGGTATGCTGCCCTGATTGGCTCGACCCTTTAGATGTCTCTAACCTCTGTATCCATCATGGCCTGAAGGGCAAGAGAGACGCACACACAGGCCCCCTGGGTGATCTTGGTGCTCTAGACCACCACAGATGGTGTGCAATACACCATCCTAAGAAATGAAATCTCCTTCCAGGCAAAGCAAAAGGGAAGAAGCAGAACATTCAAGGGAAAAAAATAGAACCTCACCGCCTAAATGCATAAGTTTAGTTCCAGAACATCCATAAGAGATTAATCTGTTCTATGTGATACCAGAACCCAGAAAATAAAACAGTTCAGATTTTGATTTATCTTCACCTGTGAAGCAGTGCCTCCATGCATAAAACAATCCTTTTCCCCAAATATTAGGAAATATAAGGTAGAGGTTTTAACCTTTGGGGTCCCAGTTCTCTTTAAGAATTTGAGTGGGCCACTGGGCCAGTGATTGAACTGTTATCTCTGAACTTTAAAACCCCTAGCTTTGTGATGTTGCAAATCACACTTCTGCTTCACTAGCTGTCACCTGTTAGAGTTCATCAAGAGGTGGCGCTTTGGGGTAATGGCAAGACTGGAGGAGGAAGAAGGGTCCTGTTTCTTCCTGTAGGCGAACTGTCTGCTGTGGCTCCTGTACTTCCATCCTCAAAATGCCAGTCTGTTTTGGAGGCTTCAGTTGAGTCCAGTGTGAAGAGATTCCGGCACTCAGAACAAGCACCATCACGTCCCCTCAGAGACCCTCGCACCAGCTGCCTGGCGTTCTTTCTTAGAGGTCCCAGCACCACATGAGCAGGGGTTCCTTAGAGAGCTGAGTTTCAGGTCTACGGGGCCCCCTCCCCACATTTTTAAATTGTAATGACTCCAGACCCCCTTTTTTTGTTTCTTCAACTCTAGGAGTAGCAGTAGCTTCCTGCAAATGCTACCTCTGTGGCCACTTAGAAGTCACACCAGCTATTTTTCCAGAAATAATTTAATATAAAGAATTGTTAACCAAGGTCAATTGTTAACAAGGTAACTGAACAAGCAAAAAGAGAGTTCTATCTCCTAAATAGATGTTATGGACATACCCCCAGAAATATGCACCTATTTCATACATACACTCCACATAAAAATTGTAATGTATTCATTGGTACACCAAAATTCACCTATAGCCAACTATAAACTCCATGAATCCAAAACTAAGAATCTTAGTTTGATCTCTTGCCCTTCAGACCATGATTGATGCAGAGGTTAGAGTCACCTACAGGGTTGAGCCAGTCAGGGCAGCACACCCTGGCCAGCGAAGTGGACCAGGTTTAGGAAGAGGGTCTCTCTCTCAGGTGGTGAAGTTGGGACACATGAGCTGGCAGCTGCTGGCAGCCCTGTTTCCCACCATGAGGAGGAAGACACTGCAGGAAGAGGGAGTGGAGCCCACATAGTGAGAAAAGCAGAGAGAAGTGGCAGAGTTCTCCAACTTCCCAGTCCTATTTCCAGTTGCCCTGAAACAGCTGCCCCTTCACCCTTTGTGAACACAGGTTGCTGGTATGAATCAAACATACTTTCTTTTCCCCTCACGCTTGTTCAAGTTGGTTTTGCCTATGATTGGTATCTAAAAGCAGCTCTGTTATGTGCTGTTTTTCTATACCATTTAGAAAATTAACCTAAAAGGGTGGTGGCACTTCTCTCTTAAGATTGAGGAGGAATGAGGAAATGTGTGTAAAGCACTTAGCATGGTACCTACCATGCTGGGTCCAATGCAGAGCACTTCAATAATGGTTCTTAGAAAACAATTTGAGAGTGCCCTGAGTTCTAGGTACTGGTCACTTAATAGTCTGGTTTCAAAAGTAAATGCATTTACCTGGATTCCATGCTGTTTCCCAAAAGGTAGCCTTGGCATTTCAAGTGAGATAGCACATTAAAAGACTGTACATTCACCAGTGAAAAAAAATGAAATGGTTAATAAATTATGATCCTTCATAATAAATTATGAAGGAGACTTATAATCTTGAAGAGCTTATTTTCTATCATAGTCTATTTTCTGAATAGCTTTGAGAACTAATTTTTTTAAGTCTATTCTTGCAATGTTTTTCAACCTTTATTTTGGCAGGTCCAAATGAAGCAAGTTCCCTTGGGTTTAAGTAGGCTCAAGATAAAGGCTGATATTAAGATCTTCTAGAAAATTGTGGGCCAGTGTCATGTGACAAGCGTCATCTTTTTCCTCCAACAGGGAGAACTCCAAGATGAAATGCAGATTGCCCAAAAAGTAGGCAAGATGGTCTCCTGGGGCACAGAAAGAACTTTTAGAACTTCTATTTACATTCACATTTCATCTCATGCTTTTTAAATTTATATTTTTGAGCATGTTTTATAATGTACATAATTTATTAGTTTGATACAAACATGTAATGTCTTATAAATAAAATAAACATTTTGGTATCTAGGCTGTGAGTACATTCTTGAAGCTTTTTTAAGAGGGATACACTTTTAAAAAATTTTGGAGACCACTGCTGTAGTGATAAAGAACCATATGCTTTGGAACAAGAGTCAGTGAACTTCGCCTACAGGCCAAATCTGACCTATCTATGTATGGCCCTTCAAGCTGCAAATGAAAAAAAAAAAAAGAAAGAAAAAAAAAGGATATATAACAGAGACTGTATGTGGTCCAGAAAGACTAAAATACTGACTGTCTTCGCTTTACAGAAAATGTTCGCTGAGTTCTGCTTTGGAATAAGCCCACACAAAATACATTCAAAATTCTTTGAAAAGGTGAGGGAGAATCCCCTTCTACTTTGTTAATGAAATTTGTATAGATGAGAAGGGAAAGTGGGTGTAAGTTCATAGGTTGGTACTTGTGATCCAACTATGGATGTTACAGATACCAAAAATAATTATTTAAATGGGGGTGAGACGTCAAGGACAAGAGCAACAGTGAATGCATTGAAAACTTCTTTAAGAATGATGATGACTCTTGAGGGTGGCCTATTACACTGGCCCAAAGGGTCTCACAAATCAGCTTCATTTTATGAAAAAGAAGCAAATAAACAAAGAATGAGTTGACTCTAGGAGTTTTATGTCAATAGCTATGGCTATAAAATTTCATAATAACTGATGCTTAACAGGTGATTCTGAATCACCAAAATTAGGAAAGATTGTTTTCAGTTTTCTCCTGTTAAGGAATGAGAAATACATTTTAGTAGCATTTATGCCACAGAAAGGGACTGAAATAAATATTCCTAAACTTACAGGTTAATTCACAACCAAGAAACTAGGCTCCATAGAATGACTTGATACCCAACTGAACAATTCTTGATAATATAAAGATGGAAACAGAAGCTTAAAGCCAAAATACTGAGAGCCAATTCATTGAAAATGCCCCCCATAGTACCTGTTAATGAAGAAGAAGAAATTAAAATATGTGATAATTAGGCTACCTATGTTAGGGCTGATAAGGCTTTCCAGTAGGCCTAATAACTACAACATGTTAATTCTGTTCTACGTTAGAGTTCACTAAATATGCTATTCACATTGTCTGAAATCTGGAAGCTGAGAATGTATCTGTCCTTTGACCACTGGATCAAGTAGAATTAACCTTTTTAAGTTTAAATATAAATGTCTAATAAAAAGTGAACACCAGCTAGAGTCTCTTACTGGCAGGACAGAAAGTTTTTATTGCTCATGGAAGTACCGTATTAGAACATGAACAGCCTGAACACGTATAATGTATGTGGCAGACACTGCCAGTCAACTAGCCAGGGCTATTCCACCTTCTTCCTTTTTAGCAGAATTTTGATTTTGTTTGGGGAAACTGTGTACCTAACTAAAAATGTCCAATCTCCCAGCTAAAAGTAGCTACGTAACCCAGAATTTGCCAGTTAGTATGTGAATGAAGTCCCTGAGAAGGGCTTTCACTCCAAAATAGAAATACAAAGTTTGCAAGTAGAAGGCTTTTGGGTCCTTCCACTCTCTTCCTTCCTGGAAAGTAGATTTAGGCCTAGAGGAACAGCAACCATTTGCAACTATAATGACAAGAGCCACATGTTAAGGAAGGCAGAGCAAGCCTATCTCTGGCAGCATTAATAAGCAACCAAACCGGCTCTTGGGTATCTACTTCTGGCCTTGTACTTACGCAAGGGGGAAAAAAAGTCTTCTTTTAAGCTACTGATAGCCAAGTTTTCCGGCACTCTCAGCCTAACGCCATCCTAACTTTTACAATGTGATTATTTCTGTTTAGTGCCAGGTGCTTGAAGTACACTATGTAACTTATTTCAATAGCTCTTTGAAGAGGAAAATATTATTCTCCACTTTACAGGGAATAATAGTTAAATAACTCACCCAAGATGACCCAATTAGTATGCAGCAAAACTCAGATTCAAATTCAGATCTGATGGTCTCTATCATTTCTTCCTCAGTGTTAAACCCAGTGCATTATACATCAATGATTGCTCAATAACAATTTTGTTCAAGGATATTTGCATAACAGACAGCTATAGAAGCTAGAGAGAATGTCACTCTCCTGGTCAGAGAGCAGATTTATTTAGTCACTTCAGGATAATAAAGTCTCCCTGCCTTCTTCATGGGGGATTTGCTTACATTCCAAGGTAATAAAGATAATGTTTTCCTAGAGAGGAAAGATTGGACAGGTTTACCAGCAGCCCCTTACCAGCTTGAGGGTTTTTAAACTCAGGGTTTCTCAGCAGTGACACATATCCTATGTGTACAATATTTTCCTGGGCCCATGTGTGCACCAACCCTATGTGACTTACAGAACAAGGGAAACTGATGCAAACATTAAGCCCCTGCATAAACTGTCTAAAGACATTTGGACTAATTGTTTCTTTTCCAAAGACATGCATGGAAGTGTTGGAAGTCATACCAGAAGATCTCATTGTCCTTGCTGCTTAAAATCTCCTTGACCACTGGACAATAGGCAGGAGGCAATCCAGCTGAAATAACTCTTTTTGGCCCAAAAAGATGCTGTTGAAAGAATCAACTTCCTAATATTCAAGTGCCTCAAACTATTTTTTAAAAGATATAATTATTCCAAAACAGTAATTCTTAACTTTTCAGTATTTGTCACACTTTTTTGAATTCTAGAATTTTGACGGTGTACTTGAAAGAGACTAAATACCAAAATCATCATCAAAGTCATTAACAATAACATGAAAATCATGTGACATCTCACAATTTCCATTAAAGCTTCCCTAGTTATGGCTTCATGCATTCCCTTGCAGCCTTTCTGCACTGTGTGGCTGTTTCAGTAGAGCTGTCTCCTGCCCTGATCTTAGCTGTCTATACCCTCCTGGTACAAATGTTCTCACATGCTCTTTCTTTAATGATAGTTTTATATTAACTAAACTGCATCACACAATCCATTTAATCTATGTCATATTTTACAGAGTTCTGAGTGACAGTATTCAGTTGGTGCAAAGAAAAAAACTGTTACATATTGATAAAAGTTTTGTATCATATGACTTGGTGAAGGGATATGGTTATACCTCTGTACCCCAGTAAGCCGATTATGAACCATATCCTGGGACCCTGTACAGAACGTCAATATTGACTAAACACTCGCTGTGTGCACAGAGTGATATTCGTGATATTCTGGCACAGTGGAGAATTATGACAGATATTTTTAAATGGTCCCTACTATCAAAGATATATTTTGAAAAATGGGACATACATATGTGAAACATCCAAAACACATCTATAAACAATAACTACAAAAGCCAATTAACGCAGTGGGTATAAATCTTAGTCTACAATCCAGGTACACAAAAAACATTGAATTTTTTTATCACCTTTAAACAAACCTAAATTCAACTCCAAGTACCCAGCCTACTAAGTTTTTCTTCCCTTAAGAATGCACAGAGATTGTGTGTGTTACAGCACTAAAGGTAGAGAAGAACAGACTCATCACACCCTACCCCCAATCCAGATACATGGGTCTTCACTAATCACCGTTGAGATTATCATAGTCATGACTGAGATTAGTCCTCATGTCCGCGGCTCTGCAGATCCCAGGGATGTGGGAATCTTTGGCAAGGCTGAAAAGACCCCGTGCCCAAAGGGAAGCCTTCCTCCATGAACCATGCCGTCTTCTTCAAGAAAACTCTCCACCCACTTAGAAAGTTAGTTTCCAAAAAAGAATGCCAAGAATGCCAAGAAACACGCCAGCTATCACCACTAACTCCTTTCCCCTTCCTTGTCAGGAAGAAGATCGTCTGTCTGTCTGTCTCTCTCTCTCTCTCTCTCTCTCCTCTCTCTTACATTCTCTTTATTCATCTTTTTTCTTGTACAATTAGCATCATCTCAGTCATAACTACAACACCTAATGTAGTGTTTCTTTTGTATCTGGCACTGTTCTAGTGCTTTATTGTATTTATTATTTTAATCCTTATGCAACTCTAGAAGATATCACTATTATTATTCCCATATCACGGTTGAGAAAACTAAGGCATGGAAAGGTGATTTTGTTCAAGGTCACATAACTGGCAAAACTAGCTGATTGCTAGTAAAAACAAGAGGAGACACTGACCTCAAGAAGCTTCTTTTTTCAGTATCCCTTGTTAGCACAATGCTGTGGAAACTATTTCACAGAATGTGAACCATATACAAAGGTAGGGCATGAATATGTTCCGGCTTTCCTCCTTTTTTAAGCCATAAATTAGGTTCAGCCAAATTTTAAATATCATTCTAAAAACCTTAAGAAGTTGAAGTTTTCTTACAATGGTTTTTAAACTTAGAACTGGTTTAGGTTTTGAATAACAGTGTCAGACATAAAAGGTTTAACTTGATTCTTCAAAAACAAAGAACATTCAACTTTGTGAATTTATTACTCAGTTTTATCTGGATTTGATGCAGCTGGATAGTAATCCTGTGGTGATGAGTTCTACCAATATTAATTTGTGTTTTTTAGGAGGTAGGATCAAGAAGCCTTAGATCACAAATCCTTCATCCTGACCCTAAGATTTCAGATCCACAGTCCACAGGAAATTTCAAATACCATTCAAGTGAGAAGCAATCTCCTGGATTCTCACAAAGTGCTTCTTAGAGGGTTCCTGCCCTCCTGGGACAGTGAAAAGCTGGAAATAATAAAGTCTCACTCTTTCTTCGTCTTTGTCTTTCTCTTTCTTTCTTTCCTTCTTTCTTTCTCTGTCTCTCCCTTTCTTTCTTTTTCTTCTTGCTCTCTCTCTCTCTCTCTGTCTATCTTTCTAAGGAATTTTAAAAGCCAAGGCCAAATCAGTATACTCCTAATGCTATATTTCTATAAAATGAGATTTCTGAGAAATCTAGAATTTGTTCCCACCTAGATGAACATTGTGAAAAATCAAGGCTTAGTTTTCTTCTGACCAGTTACCGAATATAATCAAATGTGGAAATGATATAATTTTCTCTGACTTATTTTTCTTTTTCCTGATAGTGACATGAAACAGCCTTCATTTTTAAAGGGGAATCACAAAGTCTGATGGGTATTTCAAAAAGAAAAACAATAACAATTGATTCACTCTCTCAAAGCCTGTCATGAAACAGCTGAGTCCTGTCACCACCACCAACAAATAACAAATGTGCCAAAGACAGCAAGATGCATTTGGGAGATAAAGCACGGCTTCCTTCATGCCAAAGCACCCACTTGAACAGATGAAGAGAGGGCATGAATACTGCTGGAAGAAGACGATGCTGAGAAGGAGTAGTGATGTGCTAGCACTGGGCAGTAATTGAGAATGTTGGTTTCGTTCCAGGCCCTCTGAGACAGGGCAGCTGCAATGTATCTTTTGACATTGCCACTTGGAGCCAAGTCATCTTTCTCATTAGGCTCTTTAAATGCCACCTGGCCATGCTGAGAAATCTTCTGCAACACAAAGAAGTATTTTAGTGTTCCCTGAAGAAATGCGTACAAAAAGCTAAACAAAGACAACCTTCATTAACACATTGCAAAACTCTAAACTGCCACTGGTACATTATCCTTCAGTGTTATCACAAATTATGGTAGCTATATCTTAAAATCTAATTGCAAATCACAGAATACTTTGGCAATTTTTCTCTTACATCAATGCTTGGAAAATTATTCATGGGCTGAGCCTAACTATGCCTGAAACTGTGTCCTGAATGGCATCTTTTAACTCAAATCAAGAATTTGGTAGCAGGCTTCTCAGTACCCAGATGTGGAGCAGCCAGAATGTTTCAATCCATCTCCAATCTATTACCATAAGTCATTCAGAAAGCTTCTAAGAAAAGATATCCAGAGCAGTGGTATGAGCTTCTTAGACCATGAAAGGTTACTTACCACAGAGTCCCTGACTCCATCTCTACCTCCTTGGCCACCTTATTTCACTATTCTAGATAAGAGAGAAGAGAACAGAAGAGGAAAAAAAAACATTAAGACCAGAGATAACAAAGTTTGAAGTGATTGCTGTTAATATATCCACTGACAGTGAAAAGCAGAGAAATGCTAATTATTTAACAATTAGCAATGCTGTCTCCTTAATTAGAAGTATACCACATTAAGGAGAAACTTGGCACAGTGGCTCATGTCTACAATCCCAGAACTCTGGGAGGCCAAGGCAGGTGGATTGCTTGAGCCCAGGAGTTTGAGACCAGCCTAGGCAACATAGTGAGACCCTATTTCTACAAAAAAACTTTAAAATATGCTGGGCGTGGTGACACACTTCTGTTACCCCAGCTACTCAGGAAGCTAAGATGGGAGGATTGCTTGAGCCCAGAGGTTGAGGCTGCAGTGAGCTGTGACTGTGCCACTACACTCCAGCTTGGATAACAGAGAGAGATCCTGTCTTAAAAAAAAGAAAAGAAATTTGACCAAATAATTTCCACCTTGATTGCAATGATTATCAATCCTAAAAGCAAGGACCACTTGGGCACAACCTAATATTGAATACCAGGGAGATCTGTAAACACATTCTGAACCTTTGTTATAAGGCTTCTGTGATTTTATATCACTTAGGACAGCAGTGCTCACACTGTGGTCTACAGAACTGCATGGATTCCTTGAGATCCTTTCAGGACAATCATTTGGTCAAAACTAATTTCATGCTAAGAAGCTACTTGCCTTCTTCACTAAGGTGATATTACACTATTGCAAAAGCAATAATGAGGACACCTGCTGGCACCTAAACCTGAATCAGTCATTGCATTCATTACCCTGTACCACACACTAGCAGTGGCTGGGGCAAAGGATGAGGGGGAGCAAGTGTTAGTTAAGGGTGTTCTTGATGAATCACTTAAAAGTATTAATTTTATTAAATCTCAACCCTTGAATTCATTCCTTTTTAAAATATTTTATGTAATATACATAAAGCCCTTCTGCTTCTTACCAAAGTACAACAGTCAACCCAAGGAAAAGCATGTATGTGAGTGCTTGAGTTGTGAAGTGAACTAGCTGACTGGACATTTTAGTCAACACAGAATGCAGTAGTCTTGGGAAGATAGTAGGCTATTCACTCATTCAATTAGTATTTCTTGAACTTAATGTTCTTCTTAATCTATATTAGACATCAGCTGTCTTTCAAAGTTGAATGATACATTGGCTGGTTTTCAATCATTCTTTTTTAATAACAGCTTTATTGACATACAACACATATACTGTACAATATACAAATTGTGCACCATTTAATAGTTTTTAATATATTCACAAAATTGTGCAACCATTATAATAATCAGCTTTATAACATTGTCATTACCTCAGAATGGAACCCCCGTACTCAGCAGTCACTCCCCATTTCTTTCCAACTTCCTCAGCTCTGGAAAATCACTAATGTATGTTTTCATTTCTCTTGAATACATACATGGAGGTGAAATTGCTAGGTCATAGAGTAACTCTATGTTTGACCATTTGAGGAACTACCAGGCTGTTTTCCAAAGCTGCCATACGATCACTCTTAACAGCCTTAGGTAGTAATCCATTCACTAATTTAGGAAATATTTATTGAAAACCTAGTATGCCCAATTTCATGTGCTAGCTATTAGTGAAATAAAAGAAAACAAAGCAGAGACTCTACCATAGTGGAGAGTATCATCTAATAGAGAGATACACAAAATCATAACTTTGTGGATGAGTGGAATGATAGGGAAAGTTCAGGTACCAAGGAGTAGGTAGTAAAGGGACCTAATCTATTTAGAAGCCTGGTGAGATCTCCCTGAGAAAGAAAAGTTTATGCTGAGACCCAAGTAAAGGGATAAGCAGAATTAACTTGGCAAAGAAAGGGGAAAGTGTTTAGTACAAAGGAACAAACTCACGTAAGACCTGAGGGAAACTGTCTGTTTGAGAAACCAAGAGAAATTCAATGTGACTGGAAACTGTATATGTGCAAGGCAAGAGGGTAAAAATTGAGCCTGGAGAAGTACAGAGACGATTGAAGGGTTATTAATAGGGCAATAACACTATTTGATTTGTGTTCTAAAAGAACACACTTGTTTCTGCCTGGAGGAAGGATTGGAGGGAAGCAGAACTAGAGCTTGAAACCAGCCCAGGGTTTATAGACAAAGATAGTCAAGAAGTTATGGTGGCCTGAACTACAGTGGTAGTATAGTTGTGAATCCAAAGGAAATAAAAAAAATGCTTAGAGAGTAGAATCAGTGGGACTTCGTGATTGATTGAATATGAAGGACAGAAAAAAGGAAAGGACCAAAGTAGATTTTTCTATTCAGGTACTAGGTGGATGTTAATGACATTTCCTAAGCCCAGGCCACAGGAGAATATGCCAAATCATGGTCCACAGGAAAACTTCCCATGCACGCACTAAATGCAAGACACTGGGCAAGAGTTGTGAGTATACAAAAAAATAAGGACGTTGTAGGCAGAATAATGTCTCCCCTTAAAACATGTCTGCACCCTAGAAAACTGAAACTGGACCCCTTCCTTACACCTTATAAAAAAATCAATTCAAGATGATCAAAGACTTAAACATAAGACCTAGGACCATTAAAATCCTAAAAGAAAACCTGGACAATACCATTCAGGACATAGGCATGGGCAAAGACTTCATGTCTAAAACATCAAAAGCAATGGAAACAAAAGCCAAAATTGACAAATGGGATCTAATTAAACTAAAGAGCTTCTGAAAAGCAAAAGAAACTATCATCAGAGTGAACAGACAACCTACAGAATGGGAGAAGATTTGTGCAATGTATCCATCTGACAAAGGGCTAATATCCAGAATCTACAAGGAACTTAAATTTACAAGAATAAAGCAAACAACCTCATCAAAAAATGGGCAAGGGATATGAACAGACACTTCTCAAAAGAAGACATTTATGCAACCAACAGACATATGAAAATATGCTCATCATCACTGCTTATTAGAGAAATGCAAATCAAAACCGCAATGAGATACCATCTTATGCCAGTTAGAATGGCGATCATTAAAAAGTCAGGAAACAACAGATCCTGCAGAGATTGTGGAAAAATAGGAATGCTTTTACACTTTTGGTGGGAGTGTAAATTAGTTCAACAATTGTGGAAGACAGTGTGGTGATTCCTCAAGGATCTAGAACCAGAAATACCATTTGACCCAGCCATCCCTTTACTGGGCATATACCCACAGGATTATAAATCATTCTACAATAAAGACACATGCACACATATGTTTATCACGGCACTGTTCACAATAGCAAAGTCTTGGAACCAACCCAAATGTCCATCAATGATAGACTGGATTAAGAAAATGTGGCCCATATATACCATGGAATACTATGCAGCCATAAAAAAGGATGAGTTCATGTCCTTTGCAGGGACATGGATGACGCTGGAAACCATCATTCTCAGCAAACTATCACAAGATCAGAAAATGAAACACCGCATGTTCTCACTCATAAGTGGGAGTTGAACAATGAGAACACATGGACACAGGGAGGGGATCATCACACACTGGGGCCTGTGTGGGGTTGGGGGCTAGGGGAGGGATAGCATTAGGAGAAATACCTAATGTAGGTGACGGGTTGATGGGTGCAGCAAACCACAATGACATGTACATACCTGTGTAACAAAACTGCACGTTCTGCACATGTAACCCAGAACATAAAGTATAATAATAAAAAAACAAAATGTCTGCACCCTAATCCCTGAAACCTGCAAATAAATTACCTTATATGGTATGAAGAAACGAGTTAAAACAGCAGTTTTAAATTGCTATTCTTGAAAAGGCCTACCTCTAGGATTGGCCCTTAGATAGTATCTGGGAATTTAGACTTTAGAGGGTTCCCACTGTTAACTGATAAGGGTTGCTCACTGTGCTTAAAATGTTTTGGCAAACAATATAGTTTATGCTGAATGCCTCCTTTGCTTTTGGGAGTCTGGAATTTTAGAACGTGATAGGTAGAAGTTGCCTATATGACCAGCCCCAGAAAAAACTGTAGACACTAAGTCTCTAATGACTTGCTTCAGTTAATAATATTTTACATGTGTTGTCACAACCCATTGCTGGGAGAATTAAGCACATCCTTGGTGACTCCATCGAGAGAGGACCCTGGAAACTTTGTGCACAATTTCTTCAACTTTGCCCAAGGGCCTTTCTCTTGACTGGCTTTGATTTGTTTTGGGTGTTTTCTGCCATAATAAATCATAGCTGTGAGTATGACTATATGCTGAAACCTGTGAGTCCTCCTAGCAAAGAATTAAACTTGGGAGTGTTCCTTTTACACTGTTGGTGGGACTGTAAACTAGTTCAACAATTGTGGAAGACAGTGTGGCAATTCCTCAAGGATCTAGAACTAGAAATACCATTTGACCCAGCCATCCCATTACTGGGTATATACCCAAAGGATTATAAATCATGCTGCTATAAAGACACATGCACACGTGAGTTTATTGTGGCACTATTCACAATAGCAAAGACTTGGAACCAACCCAAATGTCCATCAATGATAGACTGGATTAAGAAAATGTGGCACATATACACCATAGAATACTATGCAGCCATAAAAAAGGATGAGTTCATGTCCTTTGTAGGGACATGGATGAAGCTGGAAACAATTTCTGAGCAAACTATCGCAAGGACAGAAAACCAAACACTGCATGTTCTCACTCATAGGTGGGAATTGAACAATGAGAACACTTGGACACAGGGTGGGGAACACCACACACTGGCACCTGCCGTGGGGTGGGGGGATGGGGGAGGGATAGCATTAGGAGATATACCTAATGTAAATGACGAGTTAATGGGTGCAGCACACCAACATGGCACATGTATACATATGTAACAAACCTGCACGTTGTGTACATGTACCCTAGAACTTAAAGTATAATTAAAAAAGAAAAAAAGAATTAAACTTGGGAGTGTTCTTGGGGATCCCTAACACACAGAGCAAAAGGGATTTTGCTGACATGATTAAATGCCTTGAGATGGAGAGATTATCTTGGATTATGTGGGCAGCCCAATGTAATCAAAGTAAAGGTCAGAGTGATGTGGTTGCTGATTTTGAAGATGGAGGACTATGTCATGAGCCAAGGGTTGCAGGTGGCCTCTAGAAGCTGGAAAAGCTAAGAAGACAGATTCTTTGCTCAAGCCTCCAGAATGAATCCTGCTGACACTATGATTATAGCTTAGTGAAACCCATTTTGGACTGAGGTAAACTAGTAAATTTGTGGTATTTTAAGACACTAAGTTTGTGGTAATTTCTTTCTTTTTTATTTTTCTTAGCAACAGGATTTGTTCTATCACTCAGGCTGGAGTGCAGCAGTGCAATAATAGCTCACTGCAACCTCCAACTCCTGGGCTCAAGCGATCCTCCCGCCTGAACCTCCTGAGTAGTTAGGATTACAGGTGCGTGCCACCACACTCCACTAATTTTTAAATTTTTTGTGGAGATGAGATCTCACTATGTAACCCAAGCTGGTCACAAACTCCTGGGTTCAAGTGATCCTCCTGCACTGGCCTCCCAAAGTGCTGGGACTATGGGCATGAGCCACCGCTCCTGGACTGTGGTAATTTCTTATAGTAGCAATAGGAAAGTAATATAGGTGACCTCATGAACCATTAATTTTGGGGATGAGACAAATACATAAACATGCAATACTTTCCAAAGATTTCAGTGACAAACTTTGACTATTGTGTATTTTTCTTTTCTTTCTTTTTTTTTTTTTTTGAGATGGAGTTTTGTTCTGTCACCCAGGCTGGCTTGCAGTGGTGCAATCTCAGCTCACTGCAACCACCACCTCCTGGGTTCAAGCAATTCTCCTGCCTCAGCCTCCCAAGTAGCTGGAATTACAGGCACCCACCACCATGCCTGACTAATTTTTTGTATTTTTAGTAGAGACAGGGTTTCACCATGTTGGTCAGGCTGGTCTTGAACTCCTGACCTCAGGTGATCCACCCGCCTTGGCCTTCCAAAGTGCTGGAATTACAGGTGTGAACCACCATGCCTGGCCTATTGTGCACTTTTCATTTTTCCTTTTCCAAGAACAGTGACAATACTTATGAATAATCAGAAAGTAAATTTCAAGGGGCAGCTTGTTATAAATTGACAGAAGCAGAGTAAAACTGGCTTACTGGACATTTTCCACCTCTTCTTATCCATGACAACTCTGTGTAATATGTAATGACAAACTGGATTGCCAAATCATGAGCCAGAAAACATAATATACCTCATTCATGACACCTTTAAACATTTTGGGGGAGTGGGAAAAACTCTAGCTGGCAGTTTATCAGCAGTTTAACAGATTAGAAAACTCTGGTAGGTTTTCCTGATATAAACTAAAAGGTAACATGATGTTAATTATTGTGAGACGGTTAATTAATGGACTGGTCAATAATGCATATAAAACAAGATTTCCACTACCAAGAAAACAGGTGTCTGCTTGACGGAAAGGCAAAGTTAAATGATTCAACCACCTTTAATTTCACAGTCTGTTAAAGATCAATTATGTCCTATCAATGTTAAATCCAAGCCAGACTAAGTGATTTATGTACAAATACCCTCACACATGGAATAATTGTTTATTAACTTATCTTTATTAAATATGAACTCAAGAGATTATATTGGGAAGCAATTTACACTTACAATTTTTCCCTTTCTGTTTTAAAAATATATCCCTTAAAAAACTAGAGGACAAAGATATTGCTTTTATTTTAGACTAAATTAAACACAGTAATTTAATGCAGTGATTCAGATGTGTCCACAAAATGTAGGTGATAATATGTTTAATTCAGCTTTCCAAATAAGAGTTTTCAATAGTGCTTCACAGCAATGAAAATTCTAGTTTCTGAGAGTTGGCTTCATGTATTCACTCTACAGACACTTGTACAGTATTTACTACTAGACTGAAAACATAGAGTGAAGTATTGGTGAATAAAGAACAACCCCTAATTTCAAGGACCTCATAGTCTAATAGTAGAAACCAACATGTGAAAGGTAATTGTAAAAATGGGATGGAAAAATACAGTGATAGACTTATGTAAAATAGAGGCACCTATCCCAGCCTGAGAGTAACAAGAAAATATCCTGCAATCAGTGTCACCTGCTATGAGCCTTAAGGACTGAGCAGAAGTTATGTATACTCCAGCAGATGGGACTAAATCAGTAAAGACAAAACAGGAATAAAAACACCTAGTATGTGCAAGGAACCACAGACAGTTGCAAGCTGCTGGAGTGTGGATCATTTATCCAATGGCTATAGATCTGTTTAATTTGCCTCACAAATTATGCAGTAATTAATGAGTAATAGCTGAAGTGTCATAACAGCACACACTTAATTGGGGGAATGAGTATTTAAAATTCATTTTTATTTTAATTGTACCATTTTGGATAGTTCCCTCTACAGCTTGGAACCACTCAATCCACTATAAACAGTTAATGTTTGGGGTCAGTTTAACACTTTTCCCAATTTTTATTTCCATTCTATACTGTATCCCGAGTGCTTTTATATTTAAATGTTTAGTCAAGGAGAATCTTGTCTATTCTTTCTATGCTTCTTAACAATCTTAGATGAAACTCACTGAAAAGAAAAATCCCTCAGAAATAACACTAAATCCAAGACAAATCTGGAAAAATACAAATATCCATATGCAGCCAAATACACCAATAACATTACTAAATCTTTATTATCCCCCTGCTCTCATGCTGTCCTGAACTGTAAATGAGTTGAAGTGTATCTGCAAAATCTACCCTGTGGAGACAATCAGATTAGTAGGAATGTATTCCTGGAGCACACTGCAACAATAATAAACTGACTCACATATCAGGTTACAATACCTGGAATTGAAAGGAAAACCCAAAGATTCACATAATAACTGGACTCAATAATCCTACCATGGAAAATGGTGATAATAGGTACATGACCCATTTATGAATGAATAAATAGAATAAATGGAATTAACTATATGCCTTCCTATCATTTATATCCCTACTAACCCATGAAGGAAGAAAAAGAAGTCATATTATTATTCAATACTTTACACTTCATTAAAGTGTAAAGTACAATATTAAGAACAATATAGGCATAGAATCGAAAGCAATTATGCTTTGCAAAATCTCAGAATGTTTTTGGTTCCTTCAAACTACCTGCCGAAAATATGTTAGGCAAAGTGGACTATCTTAATTTTTCAGGTGCAACTCCTCTATCGGAATATATTTTAAGAAAGGAAAGTTAGAGATATAAAAAAAAGAATTCTATTTTTGTACTAAGATGTAATTCTCAGCTAAATGTAAACCCAGCAAGTCAAAACTCACATCTCACAATGGCACTTAATTAATTAAATATTAAAAATTAAATACATCTACTGTTCAACAACTCAGTCTTTTACTAAGGCTAAAATAAGTTGTGAAGGATTACATAGATACAGAACCTTAGATATAAAAGTATGACAAATTTTATTTTGCTCATCCAACAGCCATCAAAAAAAGAAAGACAAAGAAAAAGAATTGATCATCTGTTCCAGATATGAAACAAGATCCGGAGAATACAAACTACTGCGTGAAAAGTGTTATAAGAGAAATATAACCAAATAACTGGAAGATGTGGAAACAGCTACCTGGGAAATATGGAGACAGGTTCACCGAAGAAGGACCTGAACTAGCCCTTGACCATTGAAGTTTATCAAGCAAAGATGGGGAGAAAGGGCATCCAGGCCCATGGGTCATCAGAGGCACTGAGGCATGGAAAGACATGGGATTGTGCAGGGAATTCTGCGTAGTTCAGTGCTGCCTGGGCACAAGAGCACAAGTGAAAGTGATGGAGGATGAAAGAATAGTTAGGACCACGTCAGGAAGGGTTATGTGCTACACTGAAAGTAAGCAAAAAACAACATGCAGAAAAGTGTGTGAGTAGAAAGACAATTCTGGGGCCATGTGATAACCTGGAAGCATAAACACAATTAGGAGGCTGCTGTCCCTGTGCCAGCAAGAGCTGACAGGGGCCTATGCTAAGACAGCGGCAATGGAGAAAAGGATATGTACTTGAGAGGCATATCACAGGCAAAATAAAACAGAATTAGTGGCTGAGTAGCTACACAGAGGAGGACAAGCTTACTAATATGGGAGCTTGGGATAATGTTATTTAATAGAGAAAAGGAACACACACAAAAAAAGGAGTAGGTTTACAGGGAAAAATAGTGACTTTGGTATTTTTCTGCATTGGGGATGCACTGCCAAGAGGACTTCCAAAAAGAGGGGTTTTGTTTGCAATTTGAGGTTGGAACTGCAGAGGAGGGGAACTGAATACAAATTATTAATCTCATCAAATTTGTGAGAGGCAAAGTCTGAGCTTTTGAGGCCAGGGTCTTTCTTTGACCTTCAAGTCCCTGCCTGCCCCTAGTGCCTTGTACACTGTTTGGCACAGAGTAGGCACTCAATACACATTTGTTATTTAATTACTTTTCTGTAGGAATTAGCAAAATAAATAAATAAATAAACCACTGAGAATAGGACCTTATAAATATAATTGGGCACGACTATATTTAAGGGACAGGAATGAGGTTCTAAAAAAAAAGGAGAATGAGAGAACATTAAAGGAGAGGGAGAGACCGAGGAATGAAAATAATCTTAGAAGCGTAGAGAGCACAGTAATATGTAGGGAAGAAAATAAAAGAGACCTAGTGTTTGTGCTCAAAGCAAATTACAAAGACGAAAGCTTATACCAAAATGCAAATTAATTCATTTTTAGAACATATAACCTAAGTGGGCATATCATGTGCTATAAACTAACTTTAGAGACTACAAAATTTTAGGCTGGTAATTAATTTAACATTTACATTTGCAAATTTCTCAGAAATACTCTTTATATTTAGCACTATAATCATGCAGATGTAGTTTTATTTAATTCTAACTAGCTAATAAGATAATGGGACCTAGAGAGACATGTGACATGCCAGAGTTCCCGCAAAATAGAAATTCCACAAAATTGAAAACACCATCGTTCAATCATTTGTTACACATCTTTTCATTACATTATTTTTCAATGACAAGAGTCTTTTGTCCTAAGGTCTTTATAAAGCCTATTAGAGGACCTACCCCACCCATCTCCCTGTTAGTATAAGTGCCCTTTAACCTGAGGGTTTCCTGATGCCTCCTCATCTGGGAATGCACTTGGAATGTTTTCTCTTCAACTTAACAGGGGCCGTAGCATTTGTTTGAAATACTTCTCCAAAATGTACTATCTTTGGCCAGAAACTAAACTTAAGCAAATAAGAATCCAGATAAAGTGAAAGACATCTGCAAGAAACTATAACTTCAATACTCATAGAAGCAACAGTTTCAAAATTCTTAAAAATCATCTACTCACAAAGGTCCCAACATTCAGTGTTCATTAGAATCACCTGGAGAGGTATTTAAATATATGTCAGTGCTTCCCAACATTTTCCTACTCCACCTACATCAGACCCTAAAGAAGCCCAGAAGAGGCTGCTCATGGCTAAGATGCCAGGCCTGGCATCACTGGCCTACTGAGAACGGACGGGATCAATATCTCCAGCCACAACTGTATCTATGTGTACACTGAAGGGTTAATTCAGCAGGCTATGATTACTCAAACACTGCATTTTCAAAAAAAAAAAAAAAGGACTGGCCCTTGACAGACTCCTGGGTGGTAACCTTTGAGCCCTCAAAATATCCTGTCTGATAAGAGTGGTTGTTTTGTATGCCCAAAGCTGTGGACCATGCTATGTACTCCGTATGATCTCTGGAGTGCTAGAGATTGAATAACTAAGATCAGTCACTCAGGTGCTGATTGCCTAAGTGACTGACCCCCAGTGAAAACCCTAGACACCAAGGCTTGAGTGAGTTTATCTGGTTGGCAATACTTTGCACGTGTTGTCACACATTGTTGCTGGAAGAATTAAATTCATTCCCATGCAACTTCAACTGAGAGGGGACACCTGGAAGCTTGCACCTGATGTCCTTTTACCTTTGTTGACATTAATTTGTATCCTTTCACAATAAACCACAATCATAAGTCTAAGAGCTTTCCTGAGTCCTGTGGGTCCTTCTAGTGAATCATAGAGCCCAAGGGTGCTCTTGAGGACACCTGTAGAGGAGAAAAAGTAATGCTCTTTCCCTCACTCATTATTAGGTTCATGGTGGAAGCACATATAATAAAAGTCAGATTAGCAAGAGAAAATCATATACATTTATTTAGTATAAATTTTACATGACACGAGAGCCTTCAGAATTGAAGACCCAAAGGTAGTTCCATGAAACAGATAAAACTATGTATTTTTATGCTTAGGTTTGATGGCAAGTAGACAGTTATGTAGAAGTATGATTGAACAAAAGGAGGTATGATCTAATGGTAATAAACTGGGAGGAATTTAGCAAAGCCCATCTGTTCAGATTCTTCTTGGCATCTCTGTGTCTTTGTTCCTTTCCTCCAGGTATAGGGCAGGGTACATTTTCATGAGGGTCTTCGGAGAGAAGGGAAGAAGGCCAGTGAATGACCTTTTGGGGTTTTATGGCCTGCTTCAGAGAGGAATGGCCGGAGGTCAGAGAGACTTTCCTGTTTTCACTGTTTTCTCAAATGCCAAGGCATCACATTTTGGGGTAGAGTATCCTGAACTCCATCACCCTCAACACAGGCCCATCCATGGCATATTATACCTGTTGGGAAACTCTGATCCACATTATGGGGCTCTCCCAAATCTCACTGGATCATAACCTCTATCCAGTAATCTTTATATTTTATACATTCCCTGGATTAATCTAACAGTCAATGAGGCCACTAGTTTTAGAAGAGGCTTTTAGGAGCTTCTGATCTAGCCACCAGCAATCTGATGCTTAAACTAACCTTAAAAAAAAATGTGATTTGGTTGATACATTTCTAAGCAAGGAAAATTCACAGTCTCCCAAGACAACCCTTTTCAATATTTAATTGGTTCACATCGTTGGAAAAATTTTCCTCCTACGTAAGTAAAATATCTCCACATAACTTCTAGTCTTTGCCCTTAGTTACATGAAATGAGGCCACAGAGTAAATCTTATCTGCCTTCCACGTAACAGTCCAAACACTGTAGTTTTCTTGTTTCTCCCGAGCCTTCTCTTGTCTTATTATAAGTGTTTCTTTAACAGTTCTCAATGAGGCTGATGAGAAAGGAGCTTTCCAACAGTCATCTATATTAAGACCTTCAAGACAATCACCACAATGAAATATAAGGATGTAACATATTTCTTAGAGAAAGAGGTCACAACTTTTACATCATACAATCTTTATTCTAAAGCTTTATTTTATAGTTACAATGCTATATCAAACACAGAAAAACTAGTTTAATGAGAAGAAAACACTAGATAGACATTCAATATATATACACATTGTCATCACAAAAACACAGATTTAAAGAAAGATAAATAATGGTGACAGTGTTTATTTGTTCATTTGGTTTCTTGCACAGATTTCAATTTACAGAGTCAATTAACAATAGCATAAACTCCAGGCAATGATAGCAGGTAGGCAGATGAGAAGAGGATGTATTTCCAGGGAGGAGAAATAGCTTTTCTGATTGGTGAGCTTTGAAGAAAGTGCTAAGCCAGCATGAAGTAATCTAATGTCCACCGGACTTTCTATGTTCACTTTCCTAGATGCCTGCCTACAGACAGAGTGCATTTGTTCTGCTCTTTGCCATGCAGTAAGGCCCTGTCTTTGTGGAATGGCCTGTGGTTGTCCAGCTCTTCCAGTGATTAGATAGATAATTCTGTCTAAGTTAGCAGTAAAGTATCAAAAAATGCATGCAGCCATCCATCACTCATGCTGTCTTGACCCCTCTAAAGAGAAGAATCTTCCTGTCTTATTTGTTTAGAGCCTTCAACTTACCTCTGCAAAATTTTATTTTCTTTCATGTAGATGTGGGTATATTGTAAGTTCTTTGGCGGAAAGGACCTAGGTTTTATACTTCTTTTTGTCCCTCAGCTGCTTTCACGGTGCTGTACACAGAGGAAGCAATCAATAATTGTGGATGGCTGAGCAGTTCTTCCAAGCAGTTTGGACATCCACGATTGAAATCGCTTGTGAGTCACATTAATCTCACAGTCCACAAATAACTAGAATTTCCCCTTTTCCAATTTGATCCATGGCAGGATACAAGGCTTATTGCTGTGAATTCCTGCCTCTCAACAGAGCTGCTTTGCTACTTTAAGTTAGGTGCCAGTGTGCCCTTGAAGCATTTCTTCTGTCCATTTCACATACAATTACATTCCTTCAATTCACCTCACACCAAGGGCCCTGGTATCCTGGTGTCATCCATTCTCATTGCATTATTGACCAAGCATCATGGAACTGTGATAAGCTTGGCATGAATGCCTATGGAAAATTTCTGTTTCCAAACCTCTTAACTAAAGACCATTTAATGTGAAATAAAGCAAGCAGGTGTGGTGATGAGCTCTTTCCTAAAGCCAATAGAATGTTGGATGCTAAGAGGTCCAAATGTCACACCCATACCATAAACAGAGCAAATTTTGCTTTGTTGACCTTTGCATTGTTTAAAAGCCAAGCTCTCTTCTCTGCAATAAAATCTCTGTTAGAAAATTGCCTCTTGGAGACAACTATAAAAATCAAATGTTTCTGTTTCTGTGCAGTGTGGAGCCTAGGAGGGAAGTGTTAAATAATCCCAACTCTTTTATTTCTCCTAATATATTCCTAATGTTCTCCTTACTTTGATCAGGAAGGGCAATTGGGCATAGAATCTTCCAACTGAGCAGCGAAGGTATCAGGATGCAGTGTATAATTTAAGACATCAAATAAAGCTGACAAGCAAAGACAATAATGGAGACTTGGGGTTAAATTAGCTGACTGGAGTCAGAAACACTGGGATCTGCATACAAAGTAAACATTAAACATTGGGATGCAGTCCAGGCATGGTGGCTCAACCCTGTAATCCCAGCACTTTGGAAGGCCGAGGTGGGTGGATCATTTGACGTCAGGAGTTCAAGACCAGCCTGGCCAACATGGTGAAACCCCATCTCTACTAAAAATACAAAAATTAGCCAGGTGTGGTGGCAGGTGCCTGTAGTCCCAGGTACTTGGGATGCTGAGGCAGGAGAATCGTTTGAACCTGGGAGTGGAGGTTGAAGTGAGCCAAGGTTGTACCACTGTACTCCAGCCTGGGTGACAGAGTGTACTCCAGCCTGGGTGACAGAGTGAGACTCTGTCTCAAAAAAAAAAAAAAAAAAGATTGGGATGCAGGTTGAGGATGATACAGAAGGCAGGTTCACAAGCATACGGTCCACTCTTTGCCATGATGTAAGGATAATCAGAGACCAGTGTCAGAGAGGAAAAAGTCTCTCCTTTGAGCTCAGAGGCTGGAAAGAAAATGCAAATCAGCAGGGGTGCCTCTCTCACCCTGACAACATAAGCTAGTTAAAGCCAATCTGAAATAGCAACACCAACATTTACATAGCAATGCTTCTCTGATGTTTAATGTCAATAGAAATTTTGCTGAAATACAGACTCTGATGCAGTCAGTCTGGGACAGGGCCTGGAGATCTGCATTTTTAATAAGCTCCTGGATGATGCAGATGCTGCTGATCTACAGATTACACTTTGAATAGCACCTACTGTGTGCCAGATACTGCTTTATATTCTTTGCATAAATTTACTCACTTAATCCTCACTATAGTTATCATCATCTTTCTCATCTCAGAGGGCACAGAGAGGTTACAAATGTGGTCAAATTTTCATCACTCGTAAATGGCAGAGCAGGCTTTGAGCCTAGGCAGCCTGATCCCAGAAGCTGTGCTGGTCTAACTACCACGCTGTACTGCTTTTCCTAGGTTATGTGGTTGGTATTGCTTCCCAGATTTGTGTAATAACTAGTGCTAAGACAAATCTGGATGACCCAGCAGAGTTAAATCACTATTAACTATCAGTGATTTAGTGTCCAACCTAATCCAACACTTTCACTCACCATTTATTTATTGTATCATTTCCTACCTGAATATGTCCTTGAGACATGAAAATATACAGCAGATTAGCACAATGAACAATATACATACATTTGCTCTCATTTTTTCCCATGAGAGAATCTGGCTCAACTTTCTCCTTAAGATTTTGTATCTTACTAGCATCTGTTTGTACAGTTTTGCTTGTCTTTGGGAGGCAGAGAAATGCTGGCATCTCCCGTGGATTAAAATAACTGTAAAAACCCTGATTTGAAAGGGCCTCTGGGCTTGCTGCCTGGCTGCTCTAGGCAGCTAAAGATTTGAGTTCTATTGAATTACACTGTACTGTGGTCAGAGGCAGTGGTGGCCAGGGAGGGAGCGCCAGGCTGGCCACCTGATAGTGCAGCTGCCGTGAGCCTTTGCACAAGGTCCCAGCAGCTCTCCAGACTTTAGCTGCAACTACAGCAAGCAGTCAGGCAAGAGCTTCGTCTCAGAAATGGCAACCCTCATCAGGGAGGCTTAGCTCACTTCATGCATTCCCAAATGCCCAGAGAGGCTCATCTAAGTCAAACATATGCATGGAGACAGAGGGACAGAGTGGGGCTGCAAGAAACAGTTGAGTGACTCTGTTTGCATGCTACCCCGGAGAGAGAGTAAGAAATGAATAAAATATTCCCTTATAAACAAGTGGAAACAAAAAGTGCTCCCCACCTCTGCCATGAGAATGCTTCCTCTCTTTAATATGCATTGAATTTATTTATGATAAATTTCCATCTTTGGCACAAAGTAATAACATGTAGAATAGGCAGGAAGCTTATGGGTAGAAAATGGCTTGCGATTTCAGTCAATATTAATGACAGGCAAATGTGTAGTGATTTGCCTTTTTCTGTGATGCTATCAATTGCACAAGAAGAAAAATAACTTTCCTGTAACAATGTATATTTTTAAAAGACATTTGTATATTTAAAGGAAACTACTGTAGTTACATAAAGTCAGCCTATGAAGTATATTATTGTTTTAAAAATTTTTTGAGTTATACTATTATAAAGTTTAGAATATATCCAATTTTCCTCTCTGCCAAATGTTAAGAGAAAGTGCTTTTACTTATCATACTTGATTCTTTCAGGATAAGTGGATGTAAGTATATGTGCTTAGATAATACAAATATTTTCCAATTAGCTGAGAGTTTGAAATGCAATAAAAATTTTACCTGATTTTCTTTTTAAATTTTCTTTTAATTTTAATTCATTAACCAGTGTAGCAGGATAGCAAATATTTAACTCACAAATCAGTTCAGATGTGGTGAGCAAATGTAACTTCTTGATTTATCCAATCAGCCTTTCTCCTGAAATGGTTAGTAAGAAAATTACCTAAATGTCCAATATGTTTACTTGAGGTCTGACTCTGCGGTTTAATAGTACCTTTAGGTATTACTCAATTTCTCTTAGATAAAAGTGTTTCCCTCTGTTTCTATCCTTTACTTTGTTTCTAGGTGTCTGAGAGTAAGGGGAAGATGGGTGAAAGAGAACATGAATTTGAAGCTAAATGTGGTCCTTGGATCCACACTGAGTGTAGGTATCACATCATTATCTTGGTATCACATCACATCACACCCGAAGTCAATGACAGGTTTAGGTTGTAGTTTGTTTTCTCTTGACTAGGTCAGAGCCTGGTAGTATTCCCTGGGTGATTCAGCCTCATGTCAGTTGGCACTGGTGGTGTAGACAACTTTAAGTTCCAAAATGGACCTCCCATGTGGACTCTGTTCAGATTATCCCCTCTATAACTTTTAAAATAGTGTCGTCTTGGATCTCAAGACCTACTGAAAAATCCCATTTTGCATGTTAAAAGTTGACCATTACCTTATTCTTTCTCTTTTCATTCTGTCTGTAACAAACACTGCACTTCTCATACAGACTGTATTAGTCTGTCCTTACACTGCTATGAAGAAATACCTGAGACTGAGTAATTTATAAAGGAAAGAGGTTTAATTGACTCACAGTTCCATATGGCTGGGGAGGCCTCAGGATCATAGTGGAAGGAGAAGCAAACATGTCCTTCCTCACATGATGGTAGGAGAGAGCAGTGCTGAGCAAAAGCGGGGAAAGCCCCTTATAAAACCATAAATCTTGTGAGAACTCACTCACTATCAGGAGAACAGCATGAGGTTAACTGTTCTCATAATTGAATTACCTCCCACTGGGTTCCTCCCACAACACACGGGGAATATAGGAACTACAATTCAAGATGAGATTTGGGTAGGGACACAGCCAAACTGTATTGGACAACTTGGTTTTGGGCTAACCTGGGGAAAGGTCTAGTCCTCAGAAAGGTAAAAGAGCACATTATCAAAACATCCCATTAATGGCTCAAGACAAACTTAGATTGCATTTGAAAATCATTGGGCTTATATTCTAACTGTCTTACTTGATTATTAGCTTTTTAAGTTCAAAATGCATCTATTACTAGTCAGTTGGTGGAGAATGATGTAGCTAAAAGAAAAATCAGAAGAAGAGAAAATTCTTTTCAGAGAAATAAAATGTATTCTTTAGCAGCTTATTTATTATATGGAATAAAACTAATATAAACAGTGATCTTCCATCCCTCTCCAAAAGTTACAGGAAAGAAGACTGCTGAGGACTAACCACTTTCCTGTAGGCTTTCTTAGGTTGAGTCTCTGCTAAAAGCTACAACTATGGAAGGTCTCCTACTCCACCTTCAGCCAGGGAGAATTGAGGCAGCACCCATTTACTTCTATTTAACTACAGGCAACTTTCCTCCAGTTCTCTGAAGCATCAGTACCAAAATCAGAAAAGCAGTGAAATTTTCAATGTACCTTGTAAAATAACTTTTTTGGAGCTTTGTCATAGTGGTGGTTTTTTAGACAAAAACCACAGTAGGAAATAGTATCACTTGAAGTGATCTAACATCCTAACCACAAAGCTGCAGTATTAGAAACTTCTGGTTTGCCAGGGACAGTCAATTCACATTAAGCTGTTGAAAAGTATAGAAAAGATCCCTGGGGCCCACGATACCTTTACTCTTCTTCTAGACACCCCACTAAACTACATATCTGGCTCTCTTGCAGTTAGGCTAAAACTGAATCATTGATTTCTGGCCAACAGAATGAGTGGAAGTAATATATGCTATTTCTATATCTGAATTATAAATATATCCCAGACAAAATTAGTCCAGGCATCAGAAAACTATAGCTGACAGCTAACTCTAGCTTACTGTATGCTTTTGTAAATAAAGTTTTAATAGAACAAAACTACAGCTATAACTGCTCTTCCATGACAATGGCAGATTTGAGTAACTGCAACAAAACCACATGGCTCACAAAATTAAAGAAATATTTACCACCTAGCACTTTATGGAAAAATTTTGTCAACCCTTCCTTATTACAGCAATAAGCAATATCCATTTGCAACAACCTTTGAAGCCATATTTAAAGATGATGTCCTATATGAAAGAAGCTTGAATTCTTAAATGACAGTGTGGAACAAACTTCTCCTACCCTCACTTTATGTGAGTAAAAAATGATATTTTGTCATGTAATGCCATAGAGATTTTAGAATTGTCTGTTACAGCAGCAAGTATCACTTTCCCCAGAAGATTCCAAGGCTATATGAATATGCCTATGTGCTCTTGACTAATCGTTCTGATTGTTAATTGGCCTGCAAACTGGAAATATGTCTCCTTATAATGGAGTCATTCTGAAAACATCTTCCTTATCAATGCCCATGAAAGTATACATACTCCCATAATCTTTAACTACACAGGACCCAAACTAGCAAGTGACTCGAAAAGATACAGTCACATCTGTATTCTCTGCCCCTGCAAAGGCCAAAAATTCTACTGGCTTAAGACAGGACTAAGAGAGCAAATGACTATCAAACTCTCTAATTGTCAGTGTGGACTCATAGTTTCTGTACATTGAACAAAACTGTGGAAGTGAATAGCTTCAAACAGGAACATTTGACACCACATTTCCCAGAACAACTGTTGACCTGGAAAGGCCACAGAGGAAAGATGTTGATGGCTGTAACGAGGCCATAACCCGTTACTGCCTGCATAAAGCTCAGATGTGATAGGTAAGGACAGGACCTTTGCTACTGTGCATATGGATTTCCCTATTCAAAAGAACACCTGTTCCCCTTCTACAAGGCAAGAATTCCAAGATTGTTAGACCCATTGGCTGTTGTACACTTTAAAACTGTAATGCGGATCCTAAGGGTAGAGAAGAGAACATTTTAATCCAGAGCCAGAGATTTCTTGACTTGGGGAATATGGAAGGGTAAAACACCTAAAATGACTTTTAAGACTTTCACTACCTCACTTCTGTGCAGCAACTGTAGCAGGAAAAAAGCACAAGATCACTTTCAATGGAGCCAAGTAACTCTTCTGACAGTGGGGCCCCAATGAGAGGTTATCCCTGAGAATGAGTTCTCAACAGGACAAGTGTGTCTTGATGATGAGAACAAACTCCCTTCTGTAATCTGGTGCCAGGAAGTTGGAAGGTGAACCAAAGCAGTCAGGAGGATAAACACACTTTAGATTTTAAGTTGTCCCTTACTGGGTGGTTTTGGCAAACAAAACAAGACAGAAAAATGGGAAATATGGCAAAACAAACCTGAAATTGTGCAATCCAAAAAAGAAGGAAGCAATTCCAGATGCTCCACAGCCTGTACTATTGAATACTGTTAAATTATTTACAAACTCTCTCCAAGCCTGGTTTTCAGCAGGCATGGTATATGTTATGTACACATCGTTATCTCTGAATTGCAGTATAAATGCTAATCCAAGTATATCGGTTTTTAACTAGAATTGTACTTGTTAAAGGACATATGAATTTTTTTTCTGTGTACAAGTGTCCTTATAGGAAATCTCTTTAAAATGTATTTTTTGTAGAGAGCATACATAGAGAAAAGTAATATTTTATCTTGATATGGTTTTGTGGTGATTCATGTAAGAAATCATTTACAATCTTTTAATCTTACTAGGAGACTGGTCATAAAATCATGGCAACGCAGAAAACACACACATAAACTAGCACTTTATATCAAAGTACGCCCCCATCATCGCCCTCCCCTTGCAAAGATCACTTCCCACTGCTGTACAGGGAAAGAAGAGGTGGGGTTTCTGTGAGTTCTTCCTATACTGCCTGCTCCACGGTCTCTGCTTACCAGCGGGGCTCCCCCTGACGGTTAGAGCACCACAGAGGACTGACACCCCTCAGGCTCTTGAGACTGAAGTAGCTCCTTTGTTGTCTCCGGAGAGCGGATGGGGGCCAAGTCACATTCTTCTTTACTCTCACTTTATTCTTCCTTTTTTTTTTTTTTTTTTTTTTTAAGACGGAGTCTCGCTCTTTCGCCCAGGCTGGAGTGCAGTGGCGCTACCTCGGCCCACTGCAAGCTCTGCCTCCCGGGTTCACGCCATTCTCCTGCCTCAGCCTCCCGAGTAGCTGGGACTACAGGCGCCGCCACCATGCCCGGCTAATTTTTGTATTTTTAGTAGAGACGGGGTTTCACCGTGTTAGCCAAGATGGTCTCGATCTCCTGACCTCGTACTCTCACTTTATTCTTAACAACACTATCACGCATGGCTGTGCAGGAGAATTCAACATTACCCAAGGGTCGGAGAAATGAAAAGGAATTATGCGTACAGGAAAACTGAAAGTGTGTAGTAAACAACTTTTCCCATAATCCAAAGGAAAGACATCTGAAGAAGTAAACCTTCCCAGGACTCCTCACACAATCACATCTCACTTGTGACCTTTCTCTGCTGCCCTGACATCTGCACCTTACCACCTCCTTCTTCCCATTCCACTCCCAAACCCACACGTGGCTGGAGACCTATCTGATGGGAAGGTACTTCACTGTATGCCCACAGCCATTGTTTTCAAACCAGATGCACCTATTTCTCCCAAACAGTGTATTAATTCAAATCAGATTAATTTGGTCTAGAATAAAGTCTTCGAGGGCCTCAGCTGTATAGTAGGTGGTGGTATCTGGCATTCTACATCTGAAGAAAAGGTTTGAGGAATGAAGGACTTGATACAAAGAGGACACTGCAATTCTTATGCCCTTCAAAATTTCCCCAGCAAATGAGTTTCAACTACCTCTTTTTTATTTTTCCACCTATTTAAGCACTTGTTCACCTACACACACAAACACATACACAATCACAAACATACACAGACCTCTTTATAAAACAATCATTCACTCTCTGAGAAAGTACATACTAAACAGTAGAGTCATTTTTTTCTTTCCTTTTTAAAAAATATTTCCCCTTGATGTCAAATTGTGTCTGCTCAGACCTGCTGAGAATATAAAACAGCCATTGCTCTACTGTCCTTCTCTTAATAGCTGCTTCCTTAATAGTACAAAGACTGGCCCTGGATCAATTTTGAAGTTTGACAGCAAAAAGCAGACTGGGCCTGATCCACCTTCATCTGCCTTCCAATCAAAAGACCCATGAAAACAGAAAAAGATGTGAAGTCATGACAGAATTTAAATAAAGGATATCAATGAAGGAATTTCCCAGTTTTGGAAAGAGTTTATATCTAAATATAAAGCAGATGAATAGACCTGAGAAATGATTAGCACCTAAGTCACATCTACGGCACTTTCACATCTAGAGATAAGAGGTGGGAAAATGCTTCTAGACATCCCTAATTTGTATAGTTGAAATTGCAATTATATTCCACACAGCCTGAGAATCACTGCCACTCCCCACCTCCACTTTATTCTACAAAGAAGCTCTTTGCCCAAAGGAGCTTTTATATCCAATCAGGAAACCACAGCCCTCAGTAATACAATACAGGGCAGTGTGCAGCATACCTCAGATATGATGCCAAGAGTACAGCTTTGGTGGTCAAGAACTGTCATTCCATCAGTTGACAATTATAATAAAGGCAGTATGACTTAGCAGTTAAGATTATGAACACTAAAGTCAGAAAGATGAGAGTCCTAGTCTTAACTCTTCTACTTAGTAGTTGCATGATGTTGGGGAGATTATCTAAACTTCCAGAGGCCCTAAATTTTTATTTGCAATATGTAGATAATACCTCATATGACTGTTTTGCAGATAAAACTATTTAAGAATTTATCACAGTGTCAGCAAATGGTAAACAATAAATAGTAGTCAAGAGCAAGTAGAATAATGAAATAGAGCACAGAATAAAAGTAGAATAATGAAATAATGAGCACAGAGTCAGGAGCCTGAGCTACCCTTCCAGTGAAGTGTGACTAGGTTTTGGCCAATAGGATGTGAGCAGAAATAATGTGAACATTTGGATCATGTACTCAAAGGAAGGCCCACCTCTTTCCTTTTTCCCTTTCTGCTGGACATGGTAGTGAACCATTTTGGATCATTCAGATTAGGATAACACACTACAAATAGTAAATCAACAAGATCTCTATCATTCTACTCCAACTTGATTGCTTTTTAGACCTAATCCTCAGTTGTCATTCTGAGACCACCTGCATTTCTCTCCTTAGTTGATTCCTTTAATTCCTAGATCTCAAGTTCTTTTCTTTAGTTCATGCCCTCATTTTACTTCATTAAAAAAGGGTACAGGGAAGGTAGCCCTTCTGTGACCTTGTATGTCTAAAAATGTATTTTTTTCTTTGTGTCAAATGATAGTTTGGCTAGGTATAAAACTCGAGGTTGAAATTCATTTTTTGTCAAATTTTTGAACATTATACTTCACTGCTTTCCAGCATTTGATATTTCCATTGAAAAGTCTGATACATTCATTTAATTTAGCAGTTAATAGTCCTCTTCCATTAGAAGAGCAATGCCATTGTTTAGCTGTGAGAAACTACATGATTTTACTCCTCTTTTTTTTTCTTTTTTTCTTTTTTTTTTTTTTGTGATGGAGCCTCACTCTGTCGCCCAGGCCGGAGTGCAGTGGCATGATCTCCACTCACTGAAACCTCCAGCTCCCAGCTTTAGCAATTCTCCTGCCTCAGCCTCCTGAGCAGCGGGGATTACAGGTGCCCGTCACCACGCTGGGCTAATTTTATACTTTTAGTAGAGATGGGGTTTCACTATGTTGGCCAGGCTGGTCTTGAATTCCTGACCTCAGGTGATCCACCCACCTCAACCTCCCAAAGTGCTGAGATTACAGGCATGAGCCACCACACCTGGCCGCTTTTACTCCTTTTCTAATGTCCTCTGTTGAGTTTTTCTGTTCTCTCTTTCTGAAAGCCTATTATCATAGGAGTTCCAGAAAGTATTGTCTATAAGTCTGGCCTTTATTATAGCTCATATTTTCCCATTATTGTCTTTTTAGTTTGTTTCACATTGTGATATTTTTTGAACTTTACCTTTTAATTCTTCTTGAAATTTTATATTGATAACATAACTTTGTTTCTCAACCATTCTTTATTGTTTATAAGCATTGTTTTTCATTGCATGTGGTTCATATTTATGGATTCAGTATCTTCTTAAATTATCAAGTTGTGCCAAACTCTTTATAAGGATTATCATATTATTTCCCGCAATCACTCTCTGAGGAATGAAAGATAATTTCATTATTTTACAAATAAAAAATAAGTTTAGCAAGATTATGTTAATTTCTTAAGATCAAAGAAGCAGAAGTGGTAGAATTGGAATTCCCCCTTAGGTAGTCTGACTTCAGAGCTAGCAACTTCATCTTTAACCATAACATTATAATGCCTCCATTTTCTTCATATATCCTGTAGCAGGTTGAATAATGAGCTCCAAAAGGTTTTTATTTCCTGATCCCTGGAAACCGTGAATATGTCACCTTACACAGCAAAAGGGATTTTACAGGTGTGATTAAGTTAAGGACTTTGAGATAGGGGGATTCTCCTGGATTATCTGGGTAAGCTCAATGTCATCATAATCCTGAAAAAATGAAAGAGGGAGGTAGAAATATCTGAGAAGAAGCAGAGTCTGAAATAATGTGATTGCTGGCTTTGAAGGTAGAGGAAAGGACCATGAGTCAAAGAATGCAGTCACCCTCTACAGGCTGGAAGAGGCAATGAGACATATTTTTCCCTAGAGCCTCCAAAAAGAATGCAGACTTGTGAACCTATTTGGGACTTCTGACCTCCACAGCTGTAAGCTAATAAATTTATGTTGCTTTAAGACATCAGTTTGTGCCAATTTCTTTCAGTGGCAATAGGAAACTAATACATAGATCTTGCACATTTTTTGTTAGATTTATTGCTAGATGTCCTAAGCTTTTTGGCTATTTTTTAAAAAAGTGCCCTTTCATCAATTACATTTCTAAATTCCACCTCTAAATGATAATGTTTGAAATAATTTGAGTTTTGTATGTTGATTGAATGGCAAGTGTCATAGTCCACTTGGGCTGCTACAACAGAATACCATAGACAAGGTAGCTTATAAACAACTGAAATTTATTTCTCACAGTTCTGGAGGCTGGGAAATACAAGATCAAGGTGCCAGTGATTCTGTATCTGGGGAGAGACTACTTCCTGATGCATAAATGGCTGTCTTCTCATTACATCCTCACAAGGCAGAAGGGCAAGGGGGCTCTCTGGGGTCTCTTTTATAAGGGCACTCATCCTATTAACAAGTGCACTAATCCCATTTCACCAATATAACCTAATCACTTCCCAAAGGACCACTTCCAAATACTATCACATTGGGGTTAGAATCCTAATATATAAATTTTAGAAGGACATAAATATTCAGTGTATAGCAACAGACCACCTTCCTTAATTCTTTTAGAAGCCCAAATGATTTTTGGTTGAAATTTTGTTATTAAAAATTAGGTCTAAAATTACTCATAAATTTTTATCTTTCTAATACTCATACTTTTTTTGTTCCTTTGTGTCTTTGATCTAGTTATTGATTACTTCTTGTTCTAGTCTTTGGTTAGGATCACCTGTCTAATGTTAATAGTGATAACTTCTGATTTTAATAACAATGCTCATGATATTTCAACTTTAAGTATATTTGATGGACTTGGTTTGCTTATATATTATTTAAGCTATTTGTGCTTATGTTCAGAAATAAAATGAGTCTTTCTTTTTTTAAGTTATTCTCAATCAGTTCTGTTATTATTGATATTCAAATCTTACTGAATGTAAAAGCTTTCTATCTCTTTCTATGCCCTAAAAGAATTCATTAATATAAATTACCTGTTTTCCTATTTTAGGAAAAACTTATCTTAAATACTTTTGACCAGGTTCTTTTTATATGAATAAATTTCTGACTACCTTATCAATATTAATATTATCAAATATTAATTTGTTTTATGTGGTTTCAGTATGACACTGGTTATTCCCTTATATTGTTCTTGGGTTCTTGGAGGTGGGTAAACCAACTAAAAATCTATGGACACAGGAAAAAGCTAGGCATCCTTCATCACCACTGCACTGAGAATTCAGTATTTATATAATATGAATCTAAGTGTCTTTAGGTAAAACTGATCATACCAGATTCTATTCTCAACATGTCCAGCTGAAGACATCTGCTTCCTAATTTTTTTCACCAGTTCCAAAGTTTTGTACATAGGCAAACCCAATCAGCTGTTGTTCTTTTTTAGATCAACTGTCAATTCTATCTCTGGCATCTCTGGCTCCTTCCTTCCATCTCCACTTTTTAAATTGCAACACTCCCATCACCTGCAAAGAATTTTGCAAGCTCCAACTTGATCTCCCTAATTGCAATCAATCCACTCTTTACATACAGCCTAAGTGAGTTTTCTAAAAAATTAACTCTCATAATACTTTCCTGCTTAAAACTCATGGTGGCCCTCCCATGCCAAGATTGGGGTAAGAGAAACCGCTAGCCTTGTCATTTGAGGACTAAATTTCCAAGCTCATCTCCTGCCTTCTTCCTGCCACAAATCCACTTAACCTTCCTTATAGGCAGATTCTCAGCTTTCTAAACGCTACAAATATTTTCCTACCTGTTTGCCTTGGTTCAGGCAGTTTCCTCTGCTTGGAAGGCTCCTCTTGCCAAATCCCATTTGGGAGACTTCCATTTATTATTCAAGGTCCAAGTTCAATGCTTATCTTCCCTGTGAAGCCCTATTAAATCCTCCCTCTGACCCCTCCTGAGTGAATCTGTCCTTTTGCCACTACAAAATATCATACATTATTATTTATTAAGTGCCTCACTCTACCCCTCTCCTACAACACCTTGGAATGGAAGCTCTTCAAGTACAGAGCAGACCTTACTCCTGTTTGTGCTTTGAGGCCTAGCACAATGCTTAGTATATAAAGGCAGGTCAATAAATATCTGTACTGAATATTGTTAATACTTATTTTTCAGGTGTAATGGGGTAGGAGAAAGAGAATAACTCAAAGTTATCATTAGAACAAAACAACCATCTTCTCCGAAATATCTGGGGGTAGATTACCTCTGATTTTTTTAGGCACTCTCTTCCCCAAGGCGGTTTAATATTAAGATGGTAGCTCACTGGCACAGCCAGGCAGGGGGAATGGGGAGTCAGGAGGAGAGGAGTGAGTCTTGGAGCCAGACTAACACAGAGGAAGGAAGCAGAAGGCCTGGGGAGGACTCAGACCTCCCGCCACACAACAATAAAAGCTCCTGGAACAAATTACTCCTGTCCTCCCTACCCACAACCTTCCCAGCAATAATTAAGTACTATTTAATCTCTGAGTATCACTGGGGAAGTAAGACTCCCAAATTATTACTAAACTTCGCTTCAGTTCCAAATGTTTACTTCTAAACATTTGTCAGAGTTGCTGATGTATGAAATGACAAGTTGTTCTTCATCTTCTGAACCTCTGTTTATTAAAAAATAAAAATAAAAAACCTGTCTCAGTAAAAAGAAGGAGACCTAAGATAAGATAAATAGCAGGCATTGATTGGGAGAGACCAGGGTTTACAATTTACTGCTTTTTGAGTTGTAACTCATTATATGATGGGAGATCAAGATGGGTCAACCTCAATATACAAACAGCTATAACATAAGAGAGACTGTAAAGGTGTAATATAAAAACCACTGCACTAGATTCTCCCCTTGCCACGCCAAATGGAACACACACACTCTCACAGAGCTCCCGTGTTAGTCTTCTTGGGCTGCTATAACATAAAGCCAGACTAGGTTGCTTAAACAACAGAAATTTATTTCTGTCAGTTTTGGAGACTGGGAAGTCCAAGATCAAGGTGTCACGAAGGTAGTTTCATTCTGAGGCCCCTTCTCATGGATTGTAGGTGGCTGCCATCTCACCGTGGGCTCACATGAGCTCTTCGTTGTGCATGTGGCAGGGAGAGAAAGAGAGCAAGCTCCCTGGTGTTTCTTCTTACAAGGGCACTAATCCTATCCCAAGGGCCCCACTCTCATGACCTTGTCGAACCTTAATTACCTCCCAAAGTTTCCTTTTCCTAATGTCACCACATTGGGGTTTAGAATTTCAACATATTGATGTGAGGGGGACAAAAACAGTCCATAATAGTCCTTAATCTGCAAATAGCACCTACCATCTTACCTGACTTGAGCACTGTGGATGACACATTCTTCCTTAAAGTACTTCCATTAGTTGCATTACTTCCTTGATTTATGAGTATATAATAAGAGATTAAAGAATTATCTATAGTTCTTTTTCTACCATATATTGTCTTCGCTCCATTTGAACTGTTTGCTAGGCCTGTCACACTACTACTAGCACAGAAGTTTCTTTCAAATTAAACAATACCACTTCTGATTCCTAGAGACCAGTATACTCTACCTACTCTGTTTATTCACAATTATCAGCATGCTGGTTGAACTGGTTCAAATGATACAACAGTGGCTATTTCTACCCTGAAAAAGAGAAGCCAAATATTTGCAAACACTCTACATGTAGATATATAAAAAGTCTACCTGTGGTAGAATGCACCATCTTCCTAAGTATCACAGAAATACATAGTATTCTTGGCCATTAAAAAGCAACATGTCAAAATATTCTTATGGAAAACAAAAATGGATTGTTAGAGATTCTACAGGAATCATATTTTTATTAGTATTTACATGAAAGTTTTAAATTTCCTAAAGCTGAAAGGTAATTTATGTTTGGCTTATTTTTGGAAAGGAAAAAATATTCTTAGCTCTTGTAATGAGCCGAGAAGAGACAAGATGGAAGGGAAATTGGTGAAAACAGGGATGAACAGAAGTGCAGCCCTTTGAACAAAGCAGAGAAACAAATCCTACAGTACTGCAACATAAAAAGAGAAATCCATCATTGACAAAAGAGACTGTCCGAAGACACTGGTCTCCTTTGAAAGTCTAGAGGAGCGGTTTAGAATAACAATCATGGCCATTGCAATGACTACAATTTGTGCATTATAAATGCTGTTTTTAATAAGTTCTTACATTGATATATCTCTTTGTTAGAAAGATCCCATTTCTCCCCAGGTAATTTTTCATGTTCTTCTCCCTGAACATAGCTCCTTTTTCTAACAAAACAGCCATACCCATATTAATGGTACAAAATGGATCAGAGTAAAAAAACAAATTGTATAACATAGCTATAATAGTTCTGTCCCTGTCAACTGAACTACAATCGACCTTGGAGGGAAAAGGGGAGGTGTTACATCCCTAAGGACGATCATTCAAGCTGGAAAATATCGATGGTAGAGGTAACAACACACTGAGGGAGACAGAAGGAATAACAGCTGCTTGTTCTACCAATATAGATACCGGATAATTCATGGTTCAAACAGTAATGTCAACCTCCCAAGACAGCCATGAGACTTGGAAAGCCATCCTCTTGCAGAATGAGAGTAAACTATCTTTATTTCCAAAAGCTTTGTAACTAGAAGTCACTGTGACTGGTTCTTTAACAAACCCACAACTTATCTACCCAAACGTGTGTTGCTTTTCAGAGGAGTCCATTGGGAGCTTTATATGTCTACTGTATTAGAGACACCATTATTCAAATAACTTTGGGATAAAATGGGCGAGACATTTCAAGTGGAAGGGAGAGCAAGTGCAACATAAGTAGTGCTTAAAGAACGCCAAGGCCAATACAAGCAGGTGAGTGGGGGGAAATTGGTAAAAGAAGAAGGCACAGTAGCAGCAGTAGCACACCTTTGTGGCCTGTTAGGTTATGAAATAGAGTGGGAACCCACAAAAAATGTTTAACTAGGGAAGTGATAAGACACATTTAAAAATCACTCTGGCTGCTGAGTAGAGAATAGATGGTAGGGGGCAAGAGTGGCAGCAGGGAGATCATTTGTTGCAGTGCAGGTGAAGTCATGGTAGCTTCAAGAAGGGCAGCAGTGATGGAGGTGGTGGAGGGTGTTAGATTGAGTTACACTGAGAAGAAAAGGAACAGTAGATATGAAGAAAGGAAAGTGTGTAAAATAATAAATTCATCATTATTCTTTCAAACATTGAAGATATGAGGTTAGAAGACTCTGAATCTTGCCTTTTTTAAAACAAATATTTGCCTCTACCCCACTTATAGTAATAAAGTCATAATTTTAAAAATACTGTTTTACATTCAAAGTTAGTATGCTTTGCTCCAATTCTCTTAAAATTCAGGGTATCCCTTAATTCATTTCTTCTACAATTACTGGCCACTTACTATATGTATGATGCTGTGCTGAATAGTAGAAATTAAAAGATGGATAAGATACAGTACAGTTCCACAGCAGTGTCAAAACCACACAATTGTTATACCGCTCAAAAGTTTAAACATACATAAACTCACAAAGATTTCTTCATGTCAAATTTTATCCCTCCAAACATATATATTTTCCATGTAACAAATCTATATACGTTGCAGTAAGGAAGATAATCATGTGAACTATTGGTTCAGGTTCAGTGTGATCCCATAGTCTTATGAGAAAGGAACAATTAGGGGCACCAGAGCAGGTATGATCAGCTCCACATGAGTGGCTGGCAGAGGTATATCTTTGAAGAATCCATTATGTTTCTCCCAAGACTTCAGCGTTCTCATCTTTAAAACTGAGATAATACCTGCCTGACTACCTCAGGAGGTTGTTATATGGTGCATGTCTTCTTTTCTACTTCTGTATGATCATCCAATAGTATTCCAATTGTGGAAATTCACCTAATTTATCTCCTCTCATAACTCTCAATAATTATTCCTTTCATTATTACTTTGTAGCTTGACTCCCCATTTAAAGAAAAGTTGAAAAGGGAAGATTAAAGTTTCAACCTAGTGCATTTCCACATTAGCTATCCCTGTTCACTTATATTTTAATTCTATATTTGAGTTCCAATATTAAATATTATATACATGTATGTAATGCCATTAGATTTCAAGTTCCTCGAGGTAGGAATTTGATTAATTACCATACAGCAATGGAGTCCATATCTAGAAGGCTTAGCAAATATTAAATAATAAAAATTTCAATATCAGAACAAATTAAAAAGGGAAGCCCAAACTATTAACTCTGTACCTTGGAATAAATTTTTTATATAAACAGAAATGTTGCATTCACTTTTCTCCTCATTTACATCTTTAAAATATTACTTATTCCTCTCTTAAAAAAAAAAAGAATATAAATGTTTGGAAAATTAGTCTTTGGAGACCTCCATTTCTGGCCAAGATGAAGTAATGCTTGCCTGAAACAACCCCCACAAAAAATCCTAGATTAAATAAATGAAACAAGATTTTAAAAACACTGGACAGGAAGGAAAAAAGGACAGTGATCCCCGAGAGACAGGAAATAAATGAAGCCCTGCAATTGCCTCCAGTTTACTGACTGAAAGAGTTTTCAGGCCTCAGTAGAGGGAGGGGGAACCTAGCTTGAACCTGATGTACTCTGTCTGAGTTGAAGAGACATAGTTGAGAGTCCAGGGAGACCAAAGAGGCAAGAGTTCATAGGACAGAATATCAGAAAGGAGAGAACTATATGGAAAGAGAAATGCAGACATCCACAGAGGGTGTCCTCGAGTATTCAACTAAGTATTGATCAGCACTTGTGTTTGAGAAGACTACCCAAGGCTGGGGAAAGAACCATTTGAAATGATTTGAAGGAATATGCCAGGTGCTAACATAGGACTGGGAATAGTGCCTGTTCACAACAGCCAGATCCCAAAAAACTCACAGTTCATGGAGCATTAGGTAGAATATTCAGAAGGGCCTTGATTCAGTGGTGGGAAATAGCCCTAGGTTGAACATTAATCCAGATCCATTTAACAAATCATAAAAATAAGACTTGAAAAGATCAAATTGTTTCTAAGTAAATTAACTGCATCTCAGAACAAAGTTCAAAAAGAGTTATAAAATATATATATATATATATCCCACATCTAAAAAGATAAAATTTACAATGTCTGGCATCTAATTCAAGATTACCATGCAAAGAAGCAAGGAACTACATAACAATGAGAATCAATTGGCCAGAATTGACACAGATGTTAGAATTACTAGACAAGAACACTAAAATAATTATTGTAACTATACCCTCTATGCTCCAAAAGTTAAATAGAGACATTGAAAATATTATAAAATCAAATCCAAATCAACCTTTTTCCACAGATGAAAACTATAATGCTAAAGTTGAAAAATACAGTAGAAGGGATTAAAAGAAAATTCAATATTGCAAAACAAAGGATCAGTGAACATGAAGATATGGCAATAGAAACTTTAGAAAGTAAAATATATAGAAAAAATATTTTTAAAAAGTAAATGAGTGAACTTGGGACAAATTCAAGTAGCTTAATATATATGTAATCAGAGTCATGAAAGAACATAATAGTGAAGGGAAAACAGGAAATTTCTTTAAAGAAATAATGTTTGAAATTTTTCCCAATTTTATGAAAATCATAAACCCACAGATTCGGGATCTTAACAAGCTTCAAGAACAAGAAACATAAAGAAGACTACAGCCACATTATAATAAAATTGCTCAAACCCAAGAATAAATAGGAAATCTTAAAAGCAGCTAAAAGAAAAATACACATTACTTATAGGGGAACAAAAATAAGGATAACAGCAGATTTCTCTTCTCATAGTCACAAGAGCATGAAAATTCAAACTACAAACCAGGAGAAGTTATTTGCAAAGCAGCTCTCTGACAAAGAACTTGTATCCACTATATATATAAAATATTCAAATCCAAAAAATATTTTTTTAACTCTTGAAACTCAATAATAAGGAAGCAAACTCAACCTGAACATGGCAGAAGATTTTTGCATTCACTTCACCAAAAAAGATATATGGATGGCAAATAAGCAAATGCAAAGATGCCCAACATCATTAGTCATAGGAAAATGCAAATTAACCACAATTGGAGACCACAACCCACTTATTAGAATGTCTAACAATTAAAAAGACTTCTCATACCAAGTGTTGGCAAACATTTAGAGGAACTGGAATTCTCTATTACCACACTATTGGTGGTAACGTATAATGGTACCACCATTTTGGAAACAGCTTGGCACTTTATTAAAAATACATGTACCATATAGTCCAGCCATTTTACTCCTAGGTATTTTTTCAAGAGAAAAGAGAGCATATGTCCATACAAAGATTTATACACAAATGTTCATAGCAGCTTCATTTGTAATAGCCATAACAATCCAGACAACCCAAATGTCTATCGACAGGTAAATGGGTAAACAAACTGTGGTATATCTATACAACGAAATACTACTCAGCAATAGAAGAGAAATAAACTATTGTGAATGCAACATGGATGACTTTCAAAATAATTTTGCTAAGTGAAAGAAGGTAAAAGGATTACATACTGTATGATTCCATTTATATAAGCTCTAGAAAATGCCAACTTAACTACAGTAACAACAGAATAGCAGTTGTCTGGAGAATGAAATAGGGTGGGGCAGGAAAAGGGATTTCAAAGGGGTATAAAAAAGCTTTGGAAAATAATGAAAATGTTCACTATTTTGATTGTGCTGATACTTCCATGAGTGCACACATATGTGAAAATGTACCAAAATGTTTACTATAAATATGTGCAGCTTATTATGTGTCAGTTGTACCTCAAAAAAGCTGTTGTTTAATATAAAAGTAAACATAAATGAAAGAATGAGTTTTTTATTTAACTTATTTTAATAATTTAATTTTATGTGTATCTGATGTGATGATGATTCTAAAATAACATTTTAATCTTTTTGATTAACTCAACTCTTTTGGAAAATAAGTAAATGATTTTATGTATATATATATGTATACTTGAGACACCTATCTTTGAATAATATATGCTTAAATATATTATGTATAAAACTTTATATGCAAGAGCTCAGGAGTTTGTGTTTCTTTTTAAGAATTTTGTCGTTGCTTAGTTGATCTCCTGCATGCTTTAGGATTTTTGACTCGTGTTAAAATTATTCTTGATATGAAAAGGTTTCATACTGAGACTCCCTGGTGGACATAATAATGAAGTTTGTTTAGTTGATATGTTTATTTTTTTCCAACTTTACCACCGCACTGACCCCCAAATATTAAATCTCAGCATGAAGATGATTCTAAGTTACATTTATACAACACAGTCATCCATAACACTTCAGGGATTTTATATTATAGTGTCAAGGTTATTTTCTCTTAGCCACTGTAGTTTTTCATAATCACTGAGCCCTAACATTATGGTTGCTGCTTATAAAAATTTTCTCATCAAGGTTATATGCAACATGAATATTATTAGTGCAAATATTTCTTGTAACAATCCTGTTACCTTATCTTTCCTTGACCAGTGAAAATCTATACATGATCTGTTTCTAGCTCATAAAATTTCCAAATACAACATTTACAGATTTAAAAACTTTAGTGAGAAATTTTACAAAAAAATATTTATCTGAACTTTCAGTTGTATATTAATCAATATATTACTAACCTCATTTAAAAATTAGATCTTAATAGTATTACTTATGTTTGTTAAAAAATGGCACTTCATAATGCCTCACCTAATTAAAAAAAGGAATGAAGGTATTATTTAACAAGCATCATATAACAAATTATAAGGATAAGCCACATTAAAATTCAGAGGATCCTAGACAAACACTCACAAGTAGAAAATCACATGCTATAATGCTTTATATTTCTTGTTAGAAATCAGACAACACAAGTTTTCAGGAGTCCTGAAAATTGATGTCTTTGCCTCAGTGTTCTTATAATAGTTCCATTTTTTAAAGTTTTGGTAGAGTTTGTAAAAGGTAAATGGTCCATGTCTTTTTGTCAGTGGCGGGCGAGGGTATATAAAAGTATTGGTATGATTAGAGTTGCAGTGGCAAGAGGTTCTAGTGTTGAAGATCATCTTTGTAACATTATTTTATTCTTGCTATGAGGATTTTGAATTTTGTGCATTTAGATTTCATCTAATAATTCAAATAATTAATTCTAACAGGAAATATCTATTTTACTTTCCAGCAAAACCATGATAGTTCAAACACATGAGTTTAATATATGTAAACATTTTAAAAGGGGGAGTTAAAAGATCTCCTGAAATACGATTAACTAGGAAACATCACAACGGATTGATATTACTTTTTTTTTTCTTATGGCAGAGACTCACTCTGTCACCCAGGCTGGAGTGCTGTGGTGCAATCTCAGCTCACTGCAATCTCCACCTCCCGGGTTCAAGAACTTCTCCTCCCTCAGTCTCCTGAGCAGCTGGGACTACCGGCATGCGCCACCACGCCCAGCTAATTTTTGTAATTTTAGAGATGGGGGTTCCACCATATTGGCCAGGCTGGTCTCGAACACCTGATCTTAAGGGATCCGCCCACCTCAGTCTCCCAGAGTGCTGGGATTATAGGCATGAGCCACCGTGCCTGGCCAATATCACTTTTTAAATTAGACCCCATTATATATCAAAGCCTTGGTATTTTTAACTTCATTATGGTAAGATGTACTACTTGATGTTGATATTCCAGGTGGCACAGACTGAGGTCCCAAATATAACCTGGGAGTAGGAGAATATTAAATTCATAAGGTAAAAGGAAAATTAGATAGATTTCATTGCATAAGAGATCTAGAAGTCAAAAGCAACTACAAAAATCCCTGATTTGGCCGGACGCGGTGGCTCACGCCTGTAATCCCCGCACTTTGGGAAGCCGAGGCTGGCGGATCACGAGGTCAGGAGCTCGAGACCATCCTGGCTAACACAATGAAACGCCGTCCCTACTAAAAATACGAAAAAAATTAGCCGGTCGTGGTGGCCGGCGCCTGTAGTCCCAGCTATTCGGGAGGCTGAGGCAGGAGAATGGCGCGAATCCGGGAGGCGGAGCTTGCAGTGAGCTAAGATAGCGCCACTGCAGTCCGGCCTGGACCACAAAGCGAGACTCCATCTGAAAAAAAAAAAAAAAAAATTCCCTGATTTTATCAATGTTCAACACAGATAAATTATGACTCCTACAGAGTCAAGCAGGGCAGATATTAGGCAACTTCTGGTATAAGAGCATGAGTGTCAGGAAGATCTTTTGGTCTTTGAAAAAGATTCAGTGAAAATACTTCATATATGTTTAGTCATCATAAACAGCTAAAGAGTTTCGGTAGTGTATGCACATCACTCATAATAGAGAAATACAAATTATACCTAAAATGAGATACCGTAGGTTATATCAACTGATAGCAAGTTTGATGCTGGTGAAAGTGTGGGTACACTGCTGATAAAAATATAAATTTCTACAACTTCTAGGGAAAGCTATTTGGCAACATGTGTCAAAATTAAAAATGCCCACATCCTTTAACACAGCAATTCCACTTCTAGAAATTTTTCCTACAAATCTACTGACAAATGTGTAAAATGAACTATTCATTTAATAAATACTTAGTGAACACCAACGGCACACCCGCTCTTGTTCTACACACTGGGGATAGAGAAGCAAACACAGTAGAGAGACTCACGAAGCTTACATGTGTTGGGGAAAGAGCCTTTAAACAAATAAATACATAATATGTCAACTGACAGCAAGTGCTATGAAGAAAAATAGAATAAGAGGAGTAGGGAGTAATGAGGAAGGGATTCTGCTTTACGTAAGGTAGCAAGGAGGTGACATTTAAACTGAAACCTGAAGTAAATAAGGAAAGAAGCTCCACAGACATCTATGAGAAGAGGTATTCTAAATACACCATCATCACAGCATTGTAGGTAAAAGATTGAAAACAATCTAAAATTATCAATAGATACTTGATTAAATAAATTATATATTATATACATCACATGTACATATAGGGATATAATATATAATATGATATATGCATTTTGTATATTTATGTATAAACATAGAGAATAAAATGATAAAATGGTGATGGAGATGCACTGACTGGGTAGCTGGGGGCCCTGAGTAAAGGTTTACTTTTCACTGAATCCTCTTTGTACCTTTCAAATTTTGTATGTCATGCACACTCTCAGTTTCATATACAAAACACCATCTGGCATGGTTCATGTTAAATAAATGCCTAATATGATTGAGGTAAAGACATCTATCCTGCTTAAAATATTTCTAGGAGTTGTGGAAATACCAAATGATAATATTCTACAACCAAAAAATGCCCAGGGAAATTTATATACAAATACATGTCACATGTATTACACTAAAAATGTATCTGGACTTTCTGATAAAGACAGACCCTCTGATAAAGACAGACCCTTAACAAGAAAAAAAATGGTACACTTGGGAAGAGCAATTCAAATAACACATCATCATCCATGTCACTAAAAGGGACTGAATCTCACAAATCCATTGTATTTTGTCAAGTTTGTATGAATTCATATTACCACTCTCCCACAAGAAAAGAAATTTTATGTATTTCCTTTTTCTACATTTTAATGTAAAATGCTTATAAAACAAAGGCCTAAAACTGAAAACAAATTCAGTTTGTTTTGTTTCACCATGTGTACTTACATCTGCACAGAAAACAAAAAGACCCAGCTCTGCAACAGCTTCCAAATGCTGAAACATTTTGTGAGACTCCATAGAAACCACGTTCTTACAATCCAGCTAGATCTGTTTTTCGTGCTGTCATTTCCAGGAGCAACAAGCAAGACCAGGGACCTCCTTGCCCTGGCTCCCTCATGTTCAGATCTGCTAACTGCGGTGCAAGCAGGGAAGGAATTTTGAGGATGAAAATTTTGGATATAATGTTGATTTCATCATTGAAACTGTCAGGATAACAGAGGGATGCTTTCAGAAAGCCAAAAAAATAGCACAACAAAACAAAACAAAACAAAGACACCGACACTGAAATCAGGGTCCTCATGAAAACCAATGCTAAAATAAACTCAAAACATTCAGCCTGTTAAATTTAGCCTAAAGCTACCTCCTTACATATTTTATCTTTGGCCTAAAGTTTTTCCATATATAGTGCACTGTAACCTATTGGATGTATAAACAGACTGTAACCTACTCCTGTACCAATCACCAAGTTTCCGACAACCAAAGGCAACCAACTGTTCAAACCATGTTCAAATATGACAATGCCAAGTTGTAACCAATCCAGCTATTTCTATACTTCACTTTTGTCATTTTCCTTTTTCTGTTCATAATTTTCTTAGACCATGAGACAACACCTGAGTCATTCTGAGCCTCTTCTGGTTTGTGGGGGTTGCCTGATTAATCAATCTTATTCTTTGTTCAATTAAACTCTGTTGAACTTAATTTGTGTAAGGTTTTCCTTTTAACAAATTTCTCTGCCTTTTTCTTGATCTTTTGTAGAAATATGAATTTATAGGGAAATCATGGATTTGCTATAGACAGATAAACAACATAACAGAATATAGCTTTAGTTATAGGACAAATTTTCAATATTTAACTGATAGAGCTTGCTCCGCTGACTTCTTAATGAGTGGACACACCACATCCTGATGGCTGTGATCAAGAGGGCAACATGACCAGAGGCCCATGTTGGGGAAAATGACAGCATTCTCAAGAAATGCACCCTAGTGGTGGCTACAAACCAATGGACTTGGATGCCACTACACTCCCCAGTACACTTTACCAGTGTCTGACTCATAGGTCCCCCTCCACTGCCAATAAATCCAGCCTAAAGAGACTCCTCTACTCTGAACATCTGTAGTAAACAGAATTTCTGATATTCGATTCATCTTAATTATTTTCATGTCTCATGTAAAGAACTGTAAAATGTATGAAGGATACCATGGCTGGGGTGGTGGTAAAGGGATGATTTTGCCAAGGTATGCTATTGCAGTTTGGAGCAGCATTATCCCCAAAGTTATTCCTTGTAATGCTTAAGGGTGATATTAAATTTAGACTCATGAGACAAGCATTTGGAGGCAGCCTCAGAATTTTCTGCCTTTACCACTTTTATGCTGTTGTTATGTGTATGTTCATCTTTCCTAGTGTTTTAGCAAACAAAACATGCCTACAGAGTCTTCAAATCAGTATAATGAGACACATACATCTTAAAACATGTTCATCTTCCTTCAGTTACTGCAAGCCACATGAAAATAAACCACCAAAATCAGTCTGATATTTAAAAAGTAGTGTCCCTTCCATCTGTTTTTCAGAGAACAAAGCATAGTCGTGTGATACAATTTTCTATAGCCTGGAAACCAGAGAATATAGTCACATGAGTAATATGTTCTAGTCCAGATCTAACCCCAAGTCCTTTGCAGATATCAGAAAAGTCAGTGAATTGTGAATGGCATATATCACGGCCAACTTTTACAGATAATGAACATTACTTTATAATAGTATTAGCCAAAACTGCTATAATATTTTTATTTCATTGAATCATTACATAAATACAAAGTTATATGGGATTTGTATGTGAAGGGAGTGAGGGGACAGAGAAACTGACAGGAATGAAGGGATGCTTTGCCTAGGAACAAATAGCTGAAGATTTAAAAGGCTTTATGAAAGTATTCCTCTGTTATCCTGGCAGTTTCAATGATGAAATCAACATTATATTCAAAATTTTCATCCTCAAAATTCCTTCAACAGCTTGCACTGCAGTTAGCAGATCTGAACATGATGCAGCAAGGACTAGGAGACCCCTGGTCTTGCTTGTTGCTCCTGGAAATGACCACACGAAAAACAGATCTAGCTGGATTGCAAGATCATCATTGCTTTTATGGAGTCTCACAAAATGTTTCAGAATTTGGAAGCTGAGGCTGTGCTGAGTCTTTTTGTTTCCTGTGCAGATGTAGGTACACAAGGTGAATAGTAATAATCCCCATGCTGTAAAACTAAAGTTGTAGCTTTTTCCAGACTGTACTCTGTACAATTTGTTTCCAAGACAAGTGGAGTTTTATACCTTAAAAGCCAAGAAGATATAGTGGAATTTTTACGGATGATGATTCGTCTTGGTTGCAAACTTTGAGATCCTACGAAGCAATTGTAGGATACTTATTAATAAAAGATCACGATAAGCTGGTTGGATAAAATTGGAATATATTCGTATTAAGATCTAAGCATGCTTACATCCTTATTTTCAATTAGAAACTACCTGGAGGTGGGCAGAATGGTCAAGCCTGTTTTAAAGCTGCTAAATACAATGTCAGTTTTTACTTAATGTCCAAATACTCAGATTTTAGGGTAAATTTGTTGAGAGGATGTGGAGAAGAGAAAGGTGGCCTCATCTCTTTATTTGAGAATATGAATAGTTTTTTAAAAAGCATTAAGATGTAATGACTAAATGTAACAATAATAAGGGCTATCATTTAAAATTACTATGTGACAGGCATTAAAAGAAACTTTATATACTTGATCTCATTGAATTATGCAAGATGTATATTATTAACCTTGTGTTACATGTGAAAAAAAATGCCTTTTAAATGTTAACTAGCCCAAATCCATGTAATTTCTAAATGACAGAGGTAGATTTAAACAAGGTCTTCTCTTTAAGCACTCTGTAGGTGTCGCTCGGTACAATTATTAGAAGGCATGGCATTTGGTAAACAAATCCAGGCACTATTTTGGCTATTTAAAGAATAAGTCTTACATCTTGGAGGAAATAAGCCACTTATTAGGTATTATCTGTATCAGTCCTATTTCTTCATCTCCAAAATAAACAAGAACAACTTCCTGTATGCATATTAATGTTAATTAAGGAGATTCTCTATCTCTATGAATGATATCATCTGGAAGTCATACTGACCTCACCCTGTGTTTAATGAGGCCATCAAGTTCAGTTATTTTCCCATGCAAATGTTCTCATAATCATCTTTTTATTCCTATCTCACTGATAATCATCAGTTCAAATTCTTATCATTCCTCATCTAAATTATTCTTACCATTCTTTCATCCATTCTTTTCACTGCTGTAAGAAAGTCTTTCTGAAAGCCTAATTTGATTGGTTACTTTTTAAAACTTCTACAATCAAGCATACACATAATCTAGCAACTCCACTCATAGAGGTATGCATACATATGTTCATCAAGTGGCATTTACTAAAATGTGAGTAACAACTCTCTTCATATTAGCTAAACATTACAGACTGTGTAAATGCCCAACCCTAGAATGGATGAAAAAAATGGGATATTATATAGCAATGAAAACAAACATACTAAACTATATACAAGCAAAATGTTTGTACATACAAACATTTAAATAAAGTTCAGAAACATGCAAAGCTAAGCTAGGCTCCTAGAAATCAAAACTGTGGTTATCTATGGTAATTGGGGATAGAATCTGAAAGTGGTGCTGGCAATACTGCATTTTCCTATCTGGGTCCGGGTTATTTGAACTTTTACATATAGTATTCACACTTATAGTACATTCATTTTTCTTTATGCATGCCATAGGTAAATAAATAGTAAACAATAAAATTTTAAAAATTATTTTTTAAAAAGATCTAAGCTTGCTCTCTTGGTATCAAAAAGTTTACAATGGTGATACAGGAAAGGACAATTGACAACAAAAAGGATGTGAAACTTATGACAAAGAACAGTGGCTACCGGTGAGAGATCATCAGCTGGGTAACTATGGGCACTGCCGTAAATGTGGCTACTGTGGATTAAAAAGCCAGACACAATAGAGACAGTGGCTCTTATCAACAATTAACTGTTAAGTGTCTGCAAGGAATGCAATGAAAAATCACTGTGTTGTGTTCAAACAGAACACAGTAAATTCTGACCTTATATAAAACAGCCTACTTTTACAAAGCAGAAATAACATGTGGCCATGAGCAGAGAAGAAAAGTACAAGGATCTGTCAGAACCCAGATTACACAATGCCCATCATAAATTCAAAACCTGTTTATTGTTCTGTGAAAAAATCTCTTCAGAATTGTTTAAATACTCAGGATCCAACTCAAACAATGGTGCTTAGGGATGTGAGTTATAAAACCAGGCAATTCTCACTTTGTTAGTAAATCATTACAGAAAAAGTATCAGTCTGTTCTTCTAGGTTATGATATCTGTTTTGTGCCAGACAAACACAAAAATATTTTAAAAGCAATCAAAACAGTTAATGCCAAGTATTTCACCTTTCACCTTCTCAGAGAACAATTTTGACTTCAAAATAAGATTTACCTGCTGTTACTATATCGCCAAAGGCCATTACTACTTCAAGATTTTTCTGAACAGAGCAGCAAAAGAAAAGCATCCACAGAGCAAGATGTGCCTTATTGCTCTCCCAACACATTCTCTGGGCTTCTCACTTTCTCGTCCGTGAGAAGTTTTCATTGATTTGTCATTGAGTGCTCCCTGGACTCCCATGAAAGCATGGAAAATGTGACCATATGTTTCAGCCGTGCCCTTGTTCGGGGAGCTGCTGACACCTTCATTGTCCAGCCTTCAAGATTCTTTAGTACATTTTGTATCTTAGAGACAGAAGTTATTTTAAAGTGATTGACTGAAGCAGAGCTTCTGGGACTAGAACAGGTGTGATTTGCGTACACATCTGCTTGGTCATAAAATATTGGCAAGTGAGTGGGATATCCAGGTTCGAAGCTGCTTCCCAAAAGCTCTACACTGCATTTAGTATCCTTCTAAGACAGCAAGATCAGGGAATGAAATATTCTCCCATTGTAGACAACAAAAATTAAATCATCCATGTTCTGCTTACAATTTATCCTATATCCTGAATTTTTAATAAGATTAAGTCATCTAAATTCTTCGATTCTAATTTATTCATTTCTTTAAACACGCTCATTCTGTTTTCTTCTGGAACCCATAGGCAGGGATGCAAATATTTAAAAAATTAACAATTCAAACCACACATAAATGTTCCCATTTGCTTTCATCATTCCCTTAGAATAAGCCTCTGAGGAATAAGTATAACATTTCTTCTTAAGGAGGAAGAGTATCTCCAGAGAAAGCACACACATGCACACACTTGGAAACAATGAGAAGTCCATTCTATTGATACTTGTTTCTCTTCTTTGCCCTTCAGCCTAAATATATGTTTTAATAAGTATTGACCAGTTTTGAGGTGGGGGGTCTAGGAATACTTTAGTATTGTATTCAGACAACCAGATCTTTGCATTTCAATAGTATTATATTAACAAGTACTCAGAGAAAATACATTTTAGCTCCATTTCTATAATTTTCCTTATATATTTATATGCAAATATTTTCTCAGGCCAGGAAACAAATTACCAAAAGAAAAATCACCATGACTTTTACACTGAGACATAAGTTCTCCTCAGTTTCTCTCTCAACAAGGACAATATTTCCATTGAGATAGGTTGTTTATGGAAAGACTTCCTATTCATTAGAAAATCACTCCTTGGAGCTTATCTTCATATTTGGCACCTCCAAGAAAAGTCCACACATAAACCATTTTATTTTAAGTAGTTTAAGGCAAAGAAAATGACCTAGCTATCACCAAATTCCTCAAATATTATTCTTTCCCTAGACCCACTGTAAATGTTTGTTCCCCAACTGTCAGCCAAATCCCCAGTGGGCTTCAAGATTCTAATTGAAATTACAAGGTGTTTCACATTGTAATTCCCTAGCAGTTTTGAAATGTATATAAAGCACCGAGCACAGTAACACATGTAAGTTAAGCCAAGAAAACGTTGTGGACCAATGCCCAAACAGAACTGTTGAAAGATAAGGCCCTCCCCTGCCCTCTCCCAAGGGCAACGTAGTACTGTCACCCAAGAGAAAAGGATGCCTTAAAGGATCACAGGTAAGAAGGTAGGAATATGAAGGCTAGGGAGAAGCTGTTATGCTCAGATCTCCATCTCAGACTTCAAATGGTGTAAGGATCAAGAAGCCGCTGAAGACTAAGAGTATCTTCTTTGGCACTTCCCCAGAGGTCCAGTGAGTATTCTGACCAGGACTGTGTTAAGATTCACTGTCCAGGCTGTCACAAGTATACTAACTGCGTCAGGTTGGCTACCAAATCAGGTGGCAATCATATCCCTCTTTCCCCAGACAACTGAGAAGAGTCGCCCTTCCCTTTATGTCCCCATTTCCATGTGCCCCTGTGGGTGATCATTTGCTTTTGACTAAGCCACTGATCCATGCCTGTTCACAGCTGCAATAAACTTGGTGAACCAGCCTCGCTCAGTCTTCACCTGGATCCAAGAATGTGCAGCCCTAAACTTGGATTTCAGGACATTACATTTAATGCATAGTTGGCCTTCAAAAAGTCAAGCTCCTTTATAATCCACTCCCTCTCCTATACTAACTTTGATATAATCAAAGTTTACCCACAAAAGCTCACATGACTCTCCACCAAACCTTCTGCTTTCACTATTTTCCCCCATTGACTTCCTAATTAATCCACCTGTCACAAATAAAGAGCTTCTGTGGTCTTTCCATTTGAATCTAGAATATTCTTTATGATCATAAGTTCCCATAATATTCATTCCAAACGTTAAAAATAGCATGTTGCAAGGACATTGAACATGAACCCCTTTAAGTTACTTAGGCAGCACATTTAATGCCTTATCAAATGTTTTCCAATCTAGAGTCATTAGGCAAAACAGATGATGCTATGATCCTTCACAAAACTATGTCTGGCATTTGGGCCCACTGAAATGGTTATATCAGACAGCTTAACCTCTGAATAATAACTCAGGCTCTATCTGCAGCCCTGAATTCCCGTGTGTGTGTTCTACTATTCTGGTAAATGCAACATGTCCAGCATCATCTTCCTTGGGAAAACTAAATGCAGAGCATATTTTTATCATTTTTCTCTGCTCCCAGCTTCTTTTGCTCCATCCTTTTAATTATACCAACACATTTTAAATTTCCATAAAATATTATTTCATCAAGTTATCCCACTGCTGAATATCCTCTAAAGCTTTCTGTTTCCTCCGGGGCAAAATACATGATTTCTCTAGCTAAGATGCTCTGCAATATCTCTCTCCACTACCTATCTCTGATTTCTCCAAAAACCTTTCCTACACTCTAGATTGCTTATTATTTCATTATTTTGACAACATGTTGAGCTAACTCTCCATTTTTTTTTTTTTTTTTTTTTTTGAGACGGAGTCTTGCTTTGTCGCCCAGGCTGGAGTGCAGTGCAGTGGCGCGATCTCGGCTCACTACAAGCTCTGCCTCCCAGGTTCATGCCATTCTCCTGCTTCAGCCTCCCCAGTAGCTGGGACTACAGGCACCCGCCACCACGCCCAGCTAATTTTTGTTGTATTTTTAGTAGAGACAGGGTTTCACCATGTTAGCCAGGATGGTCTTGATCTCCTGACCTCGTGATCCGCCAGCCTCGGCCTCCCAAAGTGCTGGGATTACAGGCGTGAGCCACCAGCCCGGCTTAAGTCTCCATTTTAAGTCTTTGATCATGCAGTTCCCCTCACATAGAAATACTTCTCCCTTCTTTTCCAGATAATTATTGCTCATTCTTTAAAAAGTAACTCATTTAACACAAGCCCAAGGGGGTCTCTTCCTGACCATTTCTGGCTCTTTTGACCTTCACCCACCTACACCACTCATTTTGGCCATTTATATATTATCATCCATTCTTATATACATGTTTATGTGTATAATTTATATTTCTAATTATATCGGTTGTTCCTAGAGAAGAGGTACTGTTCCTTACATTTTTCCCCTTAACACTGAACATAGCAGCCACTTGACAAATACTTAGAGAAGAATGAGCAAATTAGCCAACGGCAGTTTGATTTTATATGAAGTAAAGAAATGGGAAGAAGTCAGATTAATAGTGATTCTTGTTGAACCCTAAATCTTCATTGCTGAATGTCCATGTTTAACTCCAAATCCTTAAACATATTGTAAAAGCCAATCAAGTATGAAATTACTCCACAGAAAAAAATGTGAGAATAAAAGCATTACTAGCACCAGTTTCCATATAAAAGTCTGAAAAAAATCCCTAACTTTGGCTTATATATCACAGTAATATTTCCTATATATTTTATACAGAAATTAGATTCAAGTAAATATAGAAAGTATATAATAATTTGTATATTAAATTAGTGTGAACAAAATAGACAAAATGGCATTGGAACAACCGGATAATTTTGGAAAGAGTCCATATTCATAGCATGCATTATAATAAACTCCAAATGGATCATCTATTTCAATGAACTCATGACTTTAATAGATTCTATCTATATATAAGAAGAAACATATATTAAACAATTGCACATGACCAAAATAAAAATTCTGGAAGCATGGCAGACAGAAATTATTTTGTTAAATGTATTTTCATGTCAAAAATATAGTTTCAGCAGGGCGCAGTGGCTCATGCCTATAATCCCAGCACTTTGGGAGGCCGAGGTGGGCAGATTGCCTGAGGTCAGGAGTTCAAGACCAGTCTGGCCAACAAGACCCGTCTCTACTAAAAATACAAAAAAATTAGCCGGGCGCAGTGGCGGGCTCCTGTAATCCCAGCTACTTGGGAGGCTGAGGCAGGGAAATTGCTTGAACCAGGGCTTTAGCCGAGATCATGCCACGGCACTCCAGCCTGGGTGACAGAGTGAGACTCCACCTCTAAATAAATAAATTAATTAAATTAAAAGTTTCTAGTTTTTATGGGCGACAATTTCTAGTTAAGTCATCATAATATGTAAATGTGAAAATAGAAAGGTCAGAGAGATCTGTAAAACAGAAACCATTTAAATTTTTTCTAGTCTTTTGAGAAATATCTAATTAATAATATAGAGCTTAATAAAAAAAAACTACATGTTTACTATATACAAGGCCCTGTGCTATGACCATTCTCATTTAATCTTCTCAACAAATCTATCAATTAGATACTGTTATTTCCATTCAGTTTCCCTGGAAGAAACTGAGACTAGAGAGGCTAAGTAACTTGCTCCAAGTCACGCTGCCAGTAAGAAGCAGAGCAAGAAATGGAGCCAGCACTCCAACTGCACTGCTGGAACAATCAGTGGTGTCACACAGTTTCCTTGTCCAGGCAGGTGGTAGTGATAATGATGTATGACATCATGATCCGTGACGATCCATGGTTGGAAAGTGAATCCTTGCTTAACTCAGAGGAACAGAGGACCATGTACATTTTCAGAATATTAAGTTTTGACTAGAATCTATTTTAACATCCTGGCTTTATTGTTCGTTTCAGCATCTCTATTACTTTATTCCACAGATCTAATGGACTTCCAACCACCTATGAAGAAATGGGTTAAGAACCACTCTATAAAGAATTGGGTTGAGAAACAGAAAGCATCCCTACTGATATTTCAATCCCTACTGAAATGTGAGATAAAAATAGCAGCTACAAAAAGAAAAACAAAATCCTCAAAAGGTCTGTTCTCTTTGATAAGGTGTAACACAATGTGCTTCTTCAAACCAACAAACTGGAAAGAAAATTTCAAGTATTCAAAGGACCATATTTGATGTTCAGTTGCCATATAAAGCTCCCAGAAATGGAATCTTACACATATTAGAGGGTGACCTTAGGGGAGATCATTTATTCATGGATCTGTGTCTTCATCTACCAAGTAAGGAGACAGATGGTTTCTACTTACATCATTTATTCCTTTATATACTCGTACATTTATTTCTTACATTTGCCTTAATTTATAAAGAATTTGACATAATAGCATGATCTATGAATATTATTTACATATAAATGGTAATTTAATTATTTAATATTATTTATTTTTATTCTCTACTTTTTATTTTGAAGAATTGCAAAGCTATAGGAAATTGAAAGAACAGGTCAATGAACAGCATATATCCTCACTTAGATGCACCAGTTGTTAACATTTTCTCACATTGCTTTATCTCTTGGTATCCTATCCCTCTCTTTGACAGACATGTACACTTCATGAAAAAACCACTTGAAAATAAGTTAAAGATATTGTAACACCTCATCACTACTTACATCTCATGAAAATCTCAAGAACATTCTTTTAAATAAACGCAATGCCATTATCATACCCAAGAAATTTAACATTGATACAATATTTTCTAATACACAGTCCATACTCAGATTTTCCTGATTATCTACAAAGATATCCTTTATAACTGTGTTTTGTAATCTAAGATCCAATCAAGGTTCACACATGCCGTTTAGTTTTTATGTCTCTTTATTCCTCTTTAACTTAAACAGTGTCCTGCCTTTTTGTTCATTTCAGTGTTTCATGACATTGACATTTTTTGAAGAGTTCAGATCAATTGTCTTAGGAAATGTCCTACAATCTGGATTAGTCTGAGGGTCCTTGTCATTATTTTCTGGATATTCAATGTTCTATAATCTATCATTGTCTTTTTTTTATTTTCACATTGTCTCAAATTTAGCCAGTCAGGTGGTCATTCCTATGTTCTTTTGACATCTTCCCATCACTCTTTCAGCAATTCCTTGCTTTCTGGCACAAGATGTTTCATGTTTACCTAATGCAAGACCTGGAATCATGTATTACTCCAGGGAGTCCTGCCCTTTTGGTGGGAATAGTATTTGGAAACTAATATAACCTTGTTTGCAACGTGTCACTGCATCTTGGCCCTTTCAGTGGACAGAGATAGGAAAGAGAATCTATTAAAGTCATGAGTTCATTAAAACTGATGATCTATTTGGAGTTTATTTAAATGTATACTATGAATATGGACTCTATTTTTTCCAAAATTATCCAGTTTTTCCAAAACCGTTTTATCTGTCCTGTTCACAGTAATTTAATGTACAAATTTATATTTACTTTCTATAGTTAATTTATGTATATACTGTTTTCTGTATATACTGTCTCTGTTTCTGAAGTTACTATCTTTTTTTTTTTTTGAGACAGAGTCTTGCTCTGTCGCCAGGCTGGAGTGCAGTGGCACAATCTCAGCTCACTGCACTCCAAGCGGCTCCCTGGTTCAAGCGATTCTCCTGCCTCAGCCTCCCTGGTAGCTGGGATTACAGGCACACACCACCACGCCCAGCTAATTTTTGTATTTTTAGTAGAGACGAGGTTTCACCATGTTGGCCAGGATGGTCTCAATCTCTTGACCTCATGATCTGCCGCCTCGGCCTCCCAAAGTTCTGGGATTACAGGTGTGAGCCACCATGCCCAGCCCTGAACTTTCTATTACTTACAGTGGTCTATCTATTCATGTGCCAGTATGTTCCGTTTTTCAATTTAAGTAAACTTACTCAAAAAATATAAAATTACTAATAATTTATACTGTACTTTTGCTACCAACTTTCAATCTGACATTAAGACTGAACTTGTGAAAACTCGAATTTGTGAATTTGTGAAAACCAGCTATTACAGAAGGAAATATGTATGGTCTAAGTAGTTCAGTGATTCTCAGGATGTGAGCCTAGGATTGTCATTATCAAGAGTACCTGGGACTCTATGAGAACTGTAGAATCTTCTGTCCCACCCCAGGACTCCTGCATCAGAAACTGCAAGGAGCTGGGGCCAAACAATCTGTGCTTCAACAAACCCTCTGCGTGATTCCAATGCACATTCAAGTTTGAGACCCCTTAGTCTAGTTTCTCTGGACTTTTCTCTTCATTCAATTCTATGCCATCTTTCTGTCCAAGCCTTGGTGTCCCTTTGTGGACACCTTTATAAGAATAGTCATTTCCTGAGTCAGGAATTAGATGGCCATCTATATTCTTGATTGACCAGCAAATTTAAACATCTCCTCAATATCTTGGTAGTTTTGTATATTGTATGTCCCACCCTCCCAAGGTAGATTTATAAATTCTAAATTTCTTACACTTTCTTCTCCCTAGTAAGTGGGCAATGTGGCCCAGGTTATGCCAACTAGATGCATTCGAATGAGAACTGCATGTGGAAAGGGCAGCCTGAAGCAATGACCACTTGGGAAAGCACAGTGGTGGGGATATCCAGGACTTAGGGAGCTGTGGCAGAGCTTCTGTAGCCTTGTTAATGCCAAGTGATTTTTAGCCATTTTTTAGATTCACGTAAGAATAAAAAAAAAATCCAAAGACTGTAAGTATTAATGTGATAACTCAGTCAAAATCTGAATAAACTGTCATTCAGAACTTTTACAGCTCAGAGCCACTAAAATATGTGAAATATGTGAAAGGTCTGAAGCAACTAACTTGAACCACCTTGAGACCAGTAGTCTCACCAAATGGTTGGGTATAGCTCCTGATTCCATTGTTCCCAACTGAGTAGCAAGCATCAAGTCTAGTTATTTGCCTCCAGTATCATATTCTTTTGATGACAGAAGCTTTAAAATATGTTTTAATATACATTTCAATAATTCTCACTGCTCTTATTTTTTAGAATCTTTACTCTGTATTTACTTTTTACACATGAATATTTTAGCATTTCATTTTTAAATTTCAAATTGATATAAAAGTTGCTTAAATAATACAATCTGCCATATATACTTTATCCATAACAAAAATTACAGGTGCTTCAGTTAGCTCCTTCAGACCTTTTGCATATTTTAGTGGCTCTGAGCTGTAAAAGTTCTGAATGATAGATTATTTTGATTTTGATTGAGTTATCAGATTAATAGTTACAGTGTTTGGAAGTCTTTTTATCGGATTCTTAAGGAAATCTAAAAAAAGATTAAGAGTTGAAAATATGATATATCAAAATTAAAGATAATTTTTATTAATCAGACTACTCTAACAGAATTATTTCCATTTTTGCTCGATACCTTTCAACCTTCATCTCCATGCGCCTGCATTTTTTAATGTAGCGTAATATACATATCTCTAGTTTGTATTGTTTTCATTAATTGCATCAAAATTTTTCTCCAGGTTGATGTGTAATCTACATAATTGTCATTTGGAAAGATTGAAAATATTCTGAAATGTGTCAACATTTATTACATTCTTACCTATCACCAGTCACTAAATTTTGTTCCACTTTGTGTATCCCACAACAACCTGACCTTCCCATGGCCCCACCCAAGACAATAATTTTTATAAATGCATCTATCAAACCCATCCATTTCTACTTTTTCCTACAAATAGAAATGTATATACTTCTGAGCTGAATTCAGTATTATTTTGCATGTTTTTAAACTTTATCCCTATCCAGTACCAAAGTGTATGTATTTCTCTACAACTTAAATTTTTCACTCAAAATTATTTTGTAAGGATAATCTGGGTCCTCTAGTTTCCTAATTTTCACTGCAATATGTCATCTACTATTTGATTTATCATAATTTATACATTATTTTCTTGTTGAATACTTTGGTTGTTTATAATTTTTTGCTATTACAAATGCTATTATTATTCTTGTAAATTCATCATTGTGTGCTTGTATAGGAGTTTCTCTAAGGTATGAATGTAGAAATAGATTGATGATTCATAGGATATTGTATCTTTAATTTTCTAGTTATTGCCATATTATTGTGCAAGGTAGTTGTTCCATTGTATTCTCCCACCATAAGTTCTGATACTCTAATAATAGGTATCCTCTGACCTGTAATGGTTTGCCAATCTGATGGATATTTCATTTTGATTTTACATTGCAATTTCCTAATCACTAGGGGATTTAAGCCTCTTCTGTATACTTATTGGCTATTCATGTTTCCTCTTCTGAAAATTGCGTGTATTTTTTCCCATTTATCTGTTGGACTATATCAGGGTTTTCTGATTAATGTGAAGAAGTTTACATATATTTAATTTTCCCCCTCAGGGCCAGTCTGAGACAAACAAGTGTCTTTTTCATCTTCCTTAACTATCAGTTGCAGATGTTTAGCACATTCTTTCACAGAAGATCTACCACAATGAATCATTTTATCCTGAAGCCTCAGTTCCAGCTCCCCATCCCACACAGGCCCAAGAATTTGTCACCTATTCACTATCTCCAAATTCCACTCTAAACAAATGTCTTCAGAACATTCTGGGCTTGCTTAACATTCTGGTTTTCTAATTCATCTTTTTGGCCCCTGTGAAAATTTCCTACTTTCTTCCAAGTTCAATTATGCCTTTCAGTGGATAGTTATATTTTACCTAGCAAAGGGTCTCATGATATCTGATTTTCATTTTGCTGTAATTTCAAGTCCTGCCTTTTACATGTGTATCCCATAATGTAGATGTACCATAATATAATTAACTATTTTCCTGTTAATGCACACTTAGATTGTTTTTAATTTTTTAGTATTAATAGAAATGCCTCAAGAATTCCTGTGAATATATTATTGTGCCTACATAAAAATCCTTCTATTGCATATATTTCTAGAAGTGGACTGTATGTTTCAAAGCATATGTGCACTTTAAGTTTTCTCATCAAAAAGCTGGATAAATTTACATTTCCAGGAACACTGAATGATAGTGACAGGGTTTTCATAACCTTAACAGTGCTAAATCTTACCAATCTTTATCTGGCATTTCTATTAATATTATTATTATTTCTTCCTCTTCTTCCTCTTCCTCTTCCTTTTCTTCTGCATTGGCTATTGATATGCTTTACTTGTATTTTTATTGTATTGTATGTATTTTGTTGCTTTGATAAGGTAGTTTTATTATCCAGGTATTAATCCTTTTCCATAATCTGGTTGAAATATTTTCTTCCAGTCTATTTTGTCTTTCAACTTTATCCATAATAAACACCTTTTTCATACAGAAATTTCAAATTTCTGTCACTTCAAATCTAACATTTTTACCTTTATTTCCTTTTATTCCCCAATATAATAGAAATATTACATTATATTTTCTTTTGATTTTTTTAAGCTTTAAAAACCAATCCAGAAGTTGATTTTGTGTGATATAAGACAAATATCAAAGTTGTTTTCAAATCAATAATTAATTGCCCCAATATCACTTAACGCTCTGTATTTCCCTCACTAGCTTGAAATAATATTCATATATATATATATACACACATACACACACACATATACACACACTTATATATACTCATATATATCGATATATCTATATAGACATAGATATAGATATCTATATCTATATATCTATATCTATATCGATATATATGAGTATGTGCGTATGTGTGTGTGCCTGCATGTTGTTACTGGCGGTTCTTTGTCCTTAGAGCTCGCAAGATGGTGGCGGGCCACTCCCAAGATAGTGGCAAGCCTTTTGTTCTCTGACCTGGGGTTCTTGGCCTCACGGATTCCGAGGAATGGAACCTTGGGCCATGCGGTGAGTGTTATAGCCCTATTAGAAGCCATGGGTCATGGAAGAGAACAGTGGAACCCAGCGACTAGTGTTCAGCTCAATTAGGACAAACCTGGGCACTTAGCCGTGCAGGAACAATGGCAAGCCTTTAGCCTGATCTGGAGTGGCAATGGGCACCTCACTGGATCAGGAGCTCAGCGGACATCCTGCTGGATCCGGATGGGAGGAAGTCACCGGCGGGTGTGCGACAGCGGCAAACAGCAGTGGTGGACAGTGAGCAAAAGCTCAGCTCGAGCCATAACAAACACAGACCAGAAGAGTCTGCAGTTGCAAGATTTAATAGAGTGAAAACAGAACTCCCATACAATGGGGGTTGCCCCTCCCTGCTAGAATGCCTGGGTTTATATCCTAATCATTGCCCCTCCCCCTGTGCTCTCAGGCGATATATGATTTGACTATTTCTTTACCTCCTGCTTTTAGCCTAATTAGTATTTTAGTGAGCCCTCTTTCCTACCTGATTGGTGGAGTGCGAGCTGAGTTACAAGCCCTGTGTTTAAAGGTAGGTGTGGTGCGGTCACCTTCCCCAGCTAGGCTTAAGAATTCTTAGTCAGCCTAGGAAATCCAGCTAGTTCTGTCTCTCAATGTGATATAGAATTTTTTACTCTGGTCATTTAATTGATTTACATTTTCCTAAGCCAATACCATGCTGTTGTGATTTTTGTGACTTTATAACATATTTTGATTTCTTGTGACTGTTTTGATTGTGGTAAGACTCACATCAAAAGAGGTGTCTCCTTTCAAAATTCTCTTGACTATTGTTTAGCAGGTCCAGATAGATTTTAGAATCTATCTGGTCAAGATCCTCTCAAAAGGATTTCATTTTCTTATTTTCTAAACAGACACACAATTTCCTTAACCAAATTGGATGCTTGAAGGATCCTTTATGATTCAATTAGAAGTTCTGAAAACTGAGTCCTCAGGAAGAAATAAAAAGTAATAACAGCAAAACACCCACCATGATCGCTTTTCTTTCAAAGGCTTAATAAACATTACATAATTTCTTCCTTTAAACAACCCTGCTAGGGATGTTTTAATAAACTCATTTTAAGAGTGAAGAAACTGAACTTGGGGGACCTTTATCAGCTGAGAGACTACCCAGCTAGAAAGGTAGTGAAGCAGGGATTACAACTGACCCTCAAGCTAAAACACTTAACCTCTAGTTTCTCTTCTCTCTAGAGCAGCATTTCCCAAAGTGCTGTGCCTGGACCAGCAGCAGCAGAATCACCTGAGAATATGTTAGAAATGCAAATTCCCTGGCCCACCTGGACCTAACAATTAATAAACTCTGGGAATGAGATCCAGCAATCTGTGTTGTACAAGCCCTTCAGGTGTTCTGATGCAGGCAGTTTGAGAACCACTGATCTAGAATCCAAAGGCTGAGGAGTAATAAGAGGGTGCAAGAAATGCTGCATGGAAAAAAAATAAAAAATAAACACAGAAAAGAACAGCACTCACTGAAATGAATGAGAAGAAATGCTACAGACATTCAGGGTTTATTAAATGACTGCTGTGTTGCCAATAACAGCCACTACATGGCATTATAAGAAATAAAACAGAAAGTGCTTAGCTAAAAGGTGTCCTTTATTCTTTTCAGATCAGAAAAGCTGAGAAACCATTGAACCAGAGTGTATAAAAATCTAAGATCTTTCATCCCATTTCTCTGAGACTTATAATCAAGAAATGCATTAGCAACTCTTGGCTAATACACAAATGCTTGTCCATATGAATTTTGATCTCCTTCAGAAGCCAGACCATAAAAAGGTCTGAGCACCTGAGTGTGGAAGAAGCTTGAAAAACCCCTGAGAAGAAGAAACATCCTGAGACATCACAGAAAATAAGAGGAGATTGTGGAGAAAGAGCAGCCTACAATAGCAGTGCAGCTGGAAGGCTGAGGAGACAGGGTGAGGGCCAAGGGAATGAGGAAAGACTGCCAGGGTGGACGCTGGGAAGGCTGGGCCAGTAGCACCATCTGGGGTGGTGAGGTGAGCCATATGCCCTGTGCATTTGGGGCCTACCACAGCTGCCTCTGTGATTAAAAAGGGAACAAAAAAATAACTTTTTTATTACTATTTTTGAATTGGATACATTTACCATTATTGGCAGTAACATACAATTTGTCCAAATTTTCATTTAGTGAAATTAGTGCATCAAACCAGCTGGATTTGCCCATGCAAAGAGGACTTGGTGGGTTCAGGTGTTGGGCTCTTTGTAAGAATTATCTATTAATTAAGTGATTAAAAATAATTAGCCTTTCGGTTGGGTATCCTGTCAGGATTAGGGATAAATTCTTGGAGAAAACTGATTGTGGAAGGCACAGGCTTGGATTGAATGCATTCAAAATAGTCCCTGGGTCTTTCACTGGATAGTGAGATGCCTGCTTGGCTTGGAAAAATTCAGCCCAGGAGATTTTCAAAATCACTCTATGAACAGGAAGACTGTTACTGACGCAGATCTTCGCCATCCTCTTGGAATTTAAAGCAGCATTTTCAAGGTTTATTATTCATATTGGTTTTAATAGGATTCTTTTATGACCCTTTTTAATGAGGAGTATTAAATTATTGCTTCCTGAAAACATTGCTATGATATCAGATTCCATGCTGTGAGGCCTCATTTGGTTAACGTGTACGTGATCTGAATGGAAAATAAAAGAACTGTTAAATTGCCATTTCTTTCCTTTACTGTATCAAGCTTTCTTTCTGCTGATGTTGGTGGTTGGTGGATGTATGCAAACACTCCATCTTTCTAGTTTGGGAAAGCCACCGGATTTAAAAAGAAAATGTACTTAAATGTAAAAATCCGTATAATGTGATGTCTATCAGATAAGGCCTTTTTCAGACTAAAACCTTCTCTCTTTCTTTTAACAAATCAGAAAGGATTGGGCAGAAGTTTTCTAAGCCTGCGGGATGATTAATTAGAGAGGGTGCCACTGGCAAAGCTCAAAAATGTGAAAACAAATGTGCACGTTTAATATGTAAAGCTCAATCTGGAGTTTAAAACTGGATGCAGCAACTTGAAGTATGTGCCTCAAGGCATGGCTCAAATACTCCGCTGAAGAATCCAACTCATAACCCTGAAGAAAAAAGTCGAATTGTTAATCCACTTTTAATCACCAATCAGGAGAACCTTTGCGAATAGTTGATAAAACAGACCAGCATGTGACTTGAGTTGAAAGTGTTACGTGCCTTTTATGCATCTTTAATTACAGCTATGAAAGCTCTCATGAGCTCATGTACTAGTATATAATATTTCATTTTTAGGAATGATGACTAGGAATGTTCAAAACAGAATTAGGAGGTTCTAGAATAAGGCCATCCTTGGCATAATGGTTGGAGCAGGGAGAACACATTTATCCTGACAAAATCAAAACTAGTCATCCACCCTGATATGCAATGCATAATAATCAAACTTTGAACTTTTATGTAGATGGAAGCATATTAATCCCTTATCACCCAAATATGTGCTACTTGCTACCAAACAACTTCCTATATAATATAAAGTGCACTCACAGAAGTTCATTAACTTCCACGGAGGCCTTTGGTGTTTCAGTCTTATATATGCTAGCACCATCCTGTGAGAGAATGACATAACAAAAATTAAAGAACAAATAATACTTTCTTTGAACAAAGACTATACAGGAATTATATCTGCAGTAGGTATATTGATGTGAATAAACTATTTCAAGTTCTGAAATGGCAAAGCACCATGCATCAGCCATAAAGAAGTAGTTTCTGGGGAGTGAGAAGAGGGTTCAGGTGTTAAATTTCTTGTAGGAATTAATTAATTAAGTGACCAAAGATAATTAGTTGGGTATCCTGTCAACATTAGGGATAAGTTCTTAGAGAAAACTGACTGTCAAAGGCACAGGCTTGGATTATATGCATTTTAAATCATCACTGGGTCTTTCATTTGGTAGTGAGGTGCCTGCTTGGCTTAGAAAAGTTCAGCTCACAAGATTGAGGTAGCCGGATATGTGCCACCCCCATCCCTATTCCTCACCTCCACTCATCTGCCCCATCCCCATTCTTTTCTTTTCTTTCTTTTTTTTTTTTTTTTGAGATGGAGTTTCACTCTTGCTGCCCAGGCTGAAGTGCAATGGCATGGTCTTGGCTCACTGCACCCTCCGTCTCTCGGGTTCAAGTGATTCTCTTGCCTCAGCCTCCCAAGTAGCTGTACAGGTGCCCGCAAACATGCCCAGCTAACTTTATATGTTTAGTAGAGACGGGGTTTCACCATGTTGGCCAGGCTGGTCTCAAACTCCTGACCTCAGGTGATCCGCCATCTTGGTCTCCCAAAGTGCTGGGATTACAGGTGTGAGCCACTGCACCCAGCCCATCCCCATTCTTTGATCCTAACAGTTGTCATCTTCTCAATCGAAGGTAAAGTGCTATACCAATTCAACCACAAGGTGTCTCCTAGCCTCGCTCCGTCCTTCCAACTAGGGTGCCACCCTCCTTCTGTATAGAATTTCTGGCTCTAACGTAATATAAATGGCAAGTACTATTGGGTTTTTTGCTATTATTATTGTTATTATGGTTATTATTGTAATTGTTCCCTGATGGGGTTGAAGAATCTCAATACTTCCCATTGTAGTTCTCTCCCTCCTACTGAGCTGGAGATTACAACCTCATTATACCAACTTTTTCTTAATCACCAAAGGGATTCTTTGGTATGGGGATATTTTTATTAAAATATATTTTATAACAGCCTGATGATTTGGTTAATATGATTATCCTACTTAAATTGAAGGAGAGGGATCTGAGGCCAAGAGATGCCATGTGCTCTCCTACTGTTAAAACCAAGTTAGAATTTATATACCCTGAGTTTCTTGCTAGTAGTCAAGACAGCTATAAAATAAAAAAACACTGCCAGCCAAAAAATACTTATTCTGGAGTAAGGCAAACTTATATCAATAAACTTTCCTTATTAGTTTGCCAGAACATTGCACCTCAGCACTCATTCTTCAGCTACTAGGCAATTCTATTGCCATTGAAAAGCCTCAACAGGAAGGGAAATGCTCCATCATCAAGAATGTGGCCCAGTTTAACCAGCCTTTATTAAACACACAACAGTAAAAAGGTACCAAGCCCATGGATGTGCAATTTTTTCAAAGATGAGCAAAGCTTATCTCTGCTCTTAAAAACTTTCCAAGATGGCCTCATGTTTTCATTTTTCCCAGTATTGGAGCAAGTCCCTCAAATTACTCACCCAGTCTGTTAACACCTGGTACAAGCACCCTTTCAGGTAAATAGGCTAAGGGATTCCTATGATCCACCCATCAGCCTCTGGGACACTGATCTTTATCATATTCAAATCCCTGAGCTCATCCTTTATTTTTCCCACTTTGTCTAGTGACAATAGGAGCAACCAGTCAATCTCATTATACTCATTAGTTTGCCAAAAATGTTAGAAAGTCTCACATAAACAGTCATTCAGATCTTTACTTCCTACAAGTGGTTCAGAGTATCAAATGGTGCTATTTTGTATATCGCTATCACCAGAGCACAACATGTACTATCAATGCTCTCTTTACTACTGGAAATAGAGTTATGAGAATCTCTAAATCCAATTACATTACAGAGCCAATTCCAAAACCCCAGAACCAATTCAGAAAGCTCATTCTTAAGATTCTGTTCCTCTAGACTCCATACCAAAATGTGTATTAGGGTTCTCCAGAGAACGGAACCACTAGTGTGTGTGTGTGTGTGTGTGTGTGTGTGTGTGTTTGTGTGTGTGTGTGTGTGTGTATGCACACGCATGTGTGTGAGGAGAGAGAGAGATTTATTATAAAGAATTGGCTCATGCAATATGAGGGCTGACAAGTCCTAAGATCTGCAAGCTAGGAAAGTCAGCAGGCTCAAAGAGAGCTGAGAGCTGATGGTATAGCTCCAGTCCAAGTCTGAAGGCCCAAGAAGCAAGAGAGCTGATGGTGTAAGTTTCAGTCTCAGTCCAAGTCCAAAGGCAGGAGGAGACTGATGTCCCAGCTCAAAGGGAGTCAAGCAGAGAGAGTGAATTCTTCCTTACTCAGCCTTCTGTTTTTATTCAATCTTCAACTGATCGGATGAGGCCTGGGGACATTGTGCAGGCCAATCGGCTATACTCAGTTTACTAATTCAAATGTTAATCTTATCCAGAAATACTCTCACAAACACACACAGAAAAAATGTTTAACCAAATATCTGGGCACCCTGTGACACAAAATCAACCATTACAAAAGATTCATCCACACTAGTTTACAGTTTACCAATTCTACCATCTCTGTGTTCTATTCTCTGAAGAGCAGCTGAGCATAAATTCCCCCAAATGTTAATATTACAAAAAAAAAAAGTTTTAGATTGAAACGAAATCAAATCAAGCAATAGTTTTGGATGCCAAATATGCAAGATGCATACTAGGCACCAACAGTTCTTCCGTGCTGATGTGATTATATAAAAATCATAAATATAGGCTTTCTGCTCCTCCCATTCCATAGACAGTCACATCTTGTGCAGTGCCAGCCATGTCCCTGAGACACGAAGGTTGAAGTGAAGGCCAGAGTAAACGGATTTGGCCTTACTGGGTGCCTGATCACTAGGACAGTTTTAACTGTAGCAAAGTGGTTATTGTCACCATCAGTGACCTCTTCATTGACCTCAATTACATGGTCCACATGTTCCAGTATGATTCCACCCATGGCAAGTTCCACGCACCATCAAGGCTGAGAATGGGAAGCTTGTCATCAATGGCAATCCCATTACCATCTTCCAGGAGCAAGATCCCATCCAAATCAAACAAGGGGATGCCAGTGCTGATTATCTTGTGGAATCCACCAGCATCATCACTACCTTGGAAAAGACTAGGGCTCACTTAAAGGGGACATGATTTCTCCCCCTTCTGCTGATGCCCCCATGTTTGTGATGGGTGTGAATCATGAGAAAAACAAAAACAACTTCACAATCATCAACAATGCTTTCTGTTCCACCAACTGCTTAGCACCCCCAGCCAAGGTCATCCATGACAACTTTGGCATCATGGAGGGATTCATGACCACAGTCCATGCCATCACTGCCACCCAGAAGACGAAGACAACCCCTCTCGGAAACTGGGATGACAGCTATGGAGCTCCACAGACATCACCCCTGCAATTAACTAGTGTTGCCAAGGCAAAGTCATCCCCACACTGAATGAGAACCTCACTGGCATGGCCTTCTGTGTCCCCACTGCCAACATGTTGGTTGTGGACCTGACCTGCCATCTAAAGAAACCTGCCAAATATGGTAACACCAAGAAGGTAATGAAGGAGGCACGGAAGGGCCCCTCAAGAGCATCGTGGTGCTACACTGAGCACCAAGTTGTCTCCTCCAACTATAACAGTGACATCGACCTTCCACTTTCGACGTTGGGGCTGGCATTGTCCTCAGCGATAACTCTGTCAAGCTCATATTCTGATATGACAATGAATTTGGCTACAGCAACAGGGTGGTAGACTTTATGGTACACATGGCCTCCAAGGAGTAAGAGCCCCCTAGACCATCAGCCCCAGTGAGAACACAACAAGAAAACAGAGGCCCTCAGCTGCAGCAAGTCCCTGCCACACTGTCCTAGACTATCAGCCCCAGTGAGAAAACAATAGGAAAAGAGGTCCTCAGGGGCTAGCAAGTCGCTGCCACATTCTGTCCCTGACATGCTGAGACTCTCCCTTCAACACAGTTTCCACACCAGACCCCCTGAAAAATGGGAGAAGCCTAGGGAGCCCCACCTTGTCATGTACCATCAATAAAGTCCCCTGCACTCAACAAAAGAAAAAAAACATAAACATAATGGCATTTTACCTTCAGCCTGATGTTTTACATCCTTTCTGTTTAACTACATATCTACTCAAATAACACACTGAGGTAGCATAAATATATGCCCATTCCAGGAAGTCTGTACATCCAGTTTTACTCCAGATGCATTTTCTTATGACTGGATTCTCTTTCTCACTGTTCTATAAACTCTTTGAGTTCCTCACTCAATTTTAATCACTTTTAGATAGGTATTCAATATGCTAAACAGAGATGGGCAAACACCAAATGCAAAATTAAATAAATAAGTAGTTTTATGACTTTTATGTATATTAAGTGTGTAGAGACATTAGTTTTTTACTTCTAGCATGAAACATCTATCTCATTGCTTTACAGACATGCTTTATTTGTACACTGCCTTAAAATTGGCTCTCCAGTTATTTTTATGGATTTCTTATCTCCAAACAGATAGTAAATTCCTCAAATGTCAGGGATCATAACCTTCTCTTCTTTTGAATGGTGTTTATGAGCAAAAATGTAACTGCTCAATAAATGTTAGGTGAATCATACACCTTTGTATTCTTGGTTGAACAAATGAAAGAATAAATGACTGCCAAATCCTCTGCTGTCTCTGTCGTATCTGATCTTCTAAGGGAAGAGATGGGATAGGGCATCTCATATCTAGCAATAAAGAAGTTGCTCCACATACAGAAGCTGAAACAAAAATTGATTCTGAAAAATTTACATTTCAAAACAGTGTAAATAACGGTGTTCTCGGAAATGGTGTTCTTTAAAATGCTACGTTATTCAAATCAACTCTCAGTTATTCAGGAGCTAATTATTCAAGGGTTGTAACCCAAGAATTCAATACTTATCCAAGTGGCCTCTTACTGAAGGTGATCAAATATGAGGTCTCTAGAAAGATGCCACCTTTGTAACCCTCTTGAAAAAAAATTTGAAGACAAAAAGAAGAAGAGATATAATTAACAACTCAGGAACAGAAAAGTCAGCATAAAAGAATAGGCAGTGAACATGGAGATCAATTAAAATCAGATATCCAAATAATTGCAAATCTAGTTATAAAACTAGAGGTAAATGTCAAAAAGAAAGGTTTCTTAATGAAACAAAGTCTTAGTTATAAAATAGATCTAAATCCCAAGATTTGATTAACCAAAGACAAGTAATAAGGGAAGAATAGAAGCACTCTTGAATAAAGAGGTTTCAAAATAAACTAGTTCACTCTTAATTTTGGTAATTACAGAAAATATTAATGAATGGTTTAGGAAAGTTTACAAATAACACATATAAAATAAAATCAGGATGTATAACTTCTAAAAGATTTAAGAAAATTAAAGGAAGTAGTTGATTTGTGTTTGTTTATCAAATACGTTTTGAGCAGCCTCTGTTTATCGGCACTGCTCCAGTTTGTGTATATACAGCAGTGATTTGCAACCTAGAGACCCAAAGGGTTGATAATGTCTCTTAAAGTGAGTCTAAAAACAACTCAGAAAAAAATATGTTGTTTATAAGAAATAGTCATAAAACAAACAAAGCCAAAAGACTAAAAAGTTAAAAGTTTATGGCAAAGACCCATGAGACCTTGAAGGAGGGGCCTGCAACTCTTTGACCAGCCTGCTGGGTTGTAGACTTTCTGGATGACCCAGCCCTGCCCATTCTCCAGCCTTGCCTTGAGTATCTCTTCCAATTAGTCATAAGGCTTAATTAACTCCAATGACTCTTAAGGATGTAGCACATTCCCTGGGAAGTACATTTTTACTTATCAGAGTGACTGGAGGTCCCTATTAACATTTAATGGGTTGAGCTAGCATGGTGAAGAAACTTCCTTCATTCCACACAACTTTAGAATATCCCACTAAATATTCATGTAAGTTAAAACATTTCTTTGAAACTTATTACCCAAACCTGATTTTTTTTTTATATTTAACAAATAACTTTTGCGAGGTTTTAATATAAATGACTTCTGTGTTAATCAAGGGAAGTGGTATTTCATTTTATTCAGAAATTTACCAAATATTGTTCCTCATGTAGGAATATCAAGTCATCAATAGCAACCTAACTCATGAAATGTGAGTTACCAACCAACATAACTATGCTGTGTTTCATTCATAGTGATTTGATGTTTGGATTACAAACATCTGACAACTTCATTATACCTTCTAGAATATCTGTGGTCAACAATTCACACCTAAAATTCTTATTAACTTGCAATATATTTATTGACTTTTGTTTCTTTATTGTATCCCAGTTAAGGCATTTTATTGATTTTTTTTTGAAATGAAGTATGTAAGTACATGTGAATTTCATTTCAGGATAGTAAAAGGGGTACTGTAAAATATTTGTTATAAATGGATTTCACATTGGCTTCCCTTAAAATATTCCAAAATGCCAAACTTTTTCCCAGCCCAGGGTTTCCATATAGGTAAAGTTCACTGCCCTCCACCCTTACTTCAAATCCTAAAGATCTCAAAACCCTCACTTCCCTGTCTGTAGGCTGACTTCTTTGGCTTTTTACCTCAGCTGTCCCATCATGGACAAAATGTCACCTCTGCTGAGAAGGGTTCCCTGCCTCCTCTAGCAATTGTGTTTCCTCTGTAGCCTTCCATATTTTCACTTTGTTTCTTTCAGAGCTTTTATCACCAATGCTAATTATTATGCTCATTTATATACTTAATATCTATTTCCCCCAATAAAAGGAAAACCAAGTCTTTTTCATTGTTATTGTTCACCACCATATAGCCAGGGTCTAGTACATGGCCTAAAACATGATGAGCGATCAATAATAATTGGTCGAATGAAGGAAAGCTGATAGAAATTCAAGGAAAAAACGGAAGAAGGAAAAAATTTCTTAATTATATAGGATGAATTTAAACACAGCTCCCAATCTTGGAGGAAACCAGTAGGTGATAAATAAGTGCAAAATCTCAATATGATTAATAAGATTGCTTTCAGAGACAAACACTAAATTTTTTAAAAAATACATGTATTTATTTATTTAATAACTTCAACTTATTTTACATGCATGGGGTACATGTGCAGGTTTATTACCTGGGTATTTTGCATGATGCTGAGGTTTGGGATACAACTGATACCATCACCCAGGTACTGAGCATAGTACCCAATAGTTAGTTTTTCAACACGTATATCCCTTCCTCCCTCCTCCTTCTAGTAGTCCCAGTGTATATTGTTGCTGTCTTTATGTCCATGAGTGTTTAGCTTCCACTTATAAGTGAGAACATGTGGTGTTTGGTTTTCCCTTCCTGTATCAATTCACTTAGGATAATGGCCTCCAGCTTCATCCATGTTGCAGCAAAGGGCATGATTTCATTCTTTTTTATAGCTGTATAGTATTCCATGGTATATATGTACCCTGTTTTCTTTATCCAGTCTGTTTATGGGCACTTAGGTTGTTTGCATGTCTTTGCTACCATGAATAGTGCTGTGATTAACATACAAGTGCATGTGACATTTGGTAGAACAATTTATTTTTCTTTAGATATATACCCAGTAATGGGATTACTGGGTTGATTGGTAACTCTGTTTTAAGTTATTTGAGAAATCTCCAAAGTACTTTCCACAGTCATTGAACTAATTTGCATCCCACCAATAATGTATAAGCATTCCCTTGCTCCACAGCTTTGCCAGCATCTGTTGTTTTTTTGACTTTTTAATAATTGCAAACCACCATGGTACATGTTTACCTATGTAACAATCCTCCATATCCTGCACATGTATCCTGGAATTTACAATTAAATTATATTTCAAAAAATTAAAATTAAAATTAAATTAAATTAAAAAGCCACATTATAAATTGCAACAGAAGCAACTAAGAAGTCTAGAGAGGAAGGTGTGGTGTCTACATTAATTTTTAACATCAGCAGAACTTCATCATTTGAGGAAAACCTGGAGGATTTGAAGAAAGCCTGGAGGATTTGAATCTTGGTCTTTATGACTCCTGTGGTGATAACAGGAGAAGACATAGTATAGAGGACCCCTAGCTCCAGTGATGGACATAAATATTGGCTGATGATGTATTCTTAAAGTCTGTTTTCCTGCAATGATACATAATAAGTGAGTGTGCTCTACTTCAAGACAAAGGTACAAACAACCATGGAAATGTGGGGATATAAACAGTATGTTCTTTGAGATTACTGAGTTGGCATTACAAGTACCCTTCTAAGTGATCAGTCACTAGCAGTGGAAGTCGAAGAGTGTGTTGAGCTGTCGAAATTTACTTTTGCAATTGGGTGAATATTCCACTAACTTTTGTTTTTTGGTTGCAAATAATAAAACCCACTTAATTCAAAAAGGACAAAGGACAAGTAAAAGGGACAAAATGTTATGATGACCTTGAGGTATGCCATGGAATCAAAGGCCTATCAATGGCATTAGCAAAGTCTAGGAACATCAGAGGAAACCCATCCAAAACCAAGACAACGGCTCTTCTGGTCTCCCTTTCTCACTCTTGCTCTCATTCTGTCCATCTATGTGGTCTCCTCACTTTATCTATCAGCATGTGTTTTTATATATAGTAGAATGATTTCTATTCTTTTGGGTATATACCCAGCATGTTGGCTTCCTATTTCTCTTTTTTTTTTTGAAACCAATGTGACTCAAAATGACCAACACAATAGAAAATTCCTTCCTCTCTTCAGAAATTTGTGTTACTCAGCTAAGACAACTGAATAAATCAGCTAGAATTTCTGAATCTCAACTCCAAATTCCTGGAAACAAGACTAAATTGACCCCCCATATTTAGAAGTTTACCTCTAGTCTGATCTGCTATGGCCCAAGAGGAAGAGTTGTGTGCACTGTTGTTAGGCCTGCCCATGGGGGTGGGTAGTGATAGTGCAGCTCTAAGGGAAAGAGGGTTGTGGCTGGGCATATGCCCTAAAGATGCATCTACTAGGCTGGAGTTTTTTTAAGTAAAAGACTATAAAGTTAGAGAATAGAACAAACTTGTGTTCATTTTTATGAAGAAAGCCTGGGTGTAAAGGAAAAGCTCCCAAACCATTCCCAGAAAGCTCCAAATATTCCAAAAAGAAAAAAAAAAAAGAAAAAGAATTCTACATCTCCTTTTCTATTATTTGACTTTTTTACAAGTAGTCAGCTGAGTTCACCTAGAAAATCTTTTGCATTACTCAATGCCTGAAAATAGCAGCAGAGAAGAACTTTTCAAAATAAGAGACTTCTCCAGTCTCTGAAAGATATTTCTCAGTGAATTTGTTCTCAGTTTCTGCTTCTGATGAGCAGTTGGACTGTTACCTTGACACTGATTCTGGGAAGTTGTGCCATTTAGAATTCTTTCATATCTTTATATCTACTGTCTACATATTTTAGTTGAGAATTAATCAGACAAGCTCTTGGAATTAAAATATGGTCCATAGCATGAGAAAAGATTATTTCCTCATTATCTGTCGATGATATCTCTCCCTCAATAAGTTAGTAGGTTTTCTGAAATGATATATAGCTTCCAACTTTTGCCTACATTTCTGAAAGCTAGAAAAACATGTTAGTAGCTAAATCCATATGTTATCTGTAGAGGTGAGACCAGGAAATTGTGTGGAATAATGTGGCAATTGATATCAGCTTCAGCCAAAAGTAACTTGCAAAATAAGGTGAGTGGGGAAGAAAAGAACTAATAAGCACTGACAATAAAAAAAATTATATAGCATATTTTTTAGTCCTAATTTTGTAGCTATCAGAACTTTTATAATTAAGTCAAACAACATTCTTCTATTGAAAAACTTTTTTTGAACAACTCTTGTGGTTACAAATGTTTTCTTAGAAATAAGCCTGCAACTTCCACTCCTAGGTTCTAACACAAGCATCTGTGCAATCATTGCATTGAACAAGACTCCAAAAGTGCAACAGAAAATAAATTTATTTTTACTGCCACTGCCATTAAAGCTTGCTCTGAGGAGCTGGTTCTTTTGTTTTCATGCCCTTATAAACACTTGGAAAGTCCCCGTGACTTTTTTCTTTATATTCATATGATATATATATCTCTTTCCCCACCTGGCACTTTTCCTCCCAGTCACTCACTAGGCTACCTCTGCCGCCTCCAGGTTGAGGATGGAGAGAGAGAGGAGGCAAAGATCAAGAAAGATCTCATTTTCATTGGTACTTTATGGCAGTATAAGTTTGATGCTGTTTGATCTTAGCAGACATTTAAAGTTGGGCTTTCTTTCAAGCCCCTTGACATCCCACCATCGTTGGATTTCTTGCTAGTACTTCCCTTGACATTTCAGTGTCCTTCTTATGTGACACTCTGGGGCAAGATCCAAGACAACTCCTCTTGTGTGACCTTATCCAGCCCAGAGGAGATAACCATGCATCCTTAGCTAGACTAACTCTAAAGGAGCAAGTAGCAATGGTCTGGTCAAATGGCATTAAGATCCCAATTTCTGAGCAGGTTAGTGCCACTGTATCTACCTCTTTTCTCACCACCGTCACAGCCAGATAACCATAGTCTTCAGCCATGTAGATATATTTTTTGAATAAGCCAGACAGCAACTTTAAGAAAAGCATGTCTAGCTCTCAACAGTGGTTCAGTCCACTAAAACCTCTTTCCCTGAACTTAGAAAGAGAAAAAAGACCTTCTTTATTCCTACCACACATGACTGGGGAGAGTGAAAACACCCTAAGGGCCCTCTCCACAAATATCATCTTCAGGACTCCAGGTGAACCCATCTATTCCTTGAAGGAAGAAGAGTTGCTAATGGTTGCCTGACTGGATTTTGAATACCCCCTTGGAAGTCTTTCATGATGTTTTAATGCATCACTCTCAAATGCAGAGCAGCTGGCTGCCCACACTTGGGGTGTACAGTGGAAAGTTAAGCTGATTTAGTTTTATTTTAAATTGTGCTACCTGTGGGAGCACAGACAACATGGATAATGCTTCTTCCACGGGAAGTCTTTTCCACAGGAAAGCCTTTCAAAGCCCTTCAAAATGATGCTCAAGGCTCTTTAGAGTTTTCAGGTACTTCACATCCATTATAGTATTTGAAACTCCTCTGTAAGGTAGGAAGGATGAGTACTAAATGAGGCCCACAAAGAAGTAGAACTTACTTGTTCAGAGGTCTATACTATAAAGTTCTGACCAAGAATCCAGTGCCAAACCATGAGTGAAAAAATTGTAAAGCAAGCAGAATTGTTTGATAAAATAGAATTAAAAGCCCAATTATTGAAGAAGATACCATCAGACTGTGAAGAGCCCCTGGAAAACAACCACCACTTCTCTAGTGATTCCTACTGGGAATCCAGATATGTGTATTTTGAATAAGCTTTCCAGGTGATTTTTTTTTCTGATATGTATGCTTCCTTTCCCTTTCCTTCCATTTCCTTCATCTATACCATTCCCATTCTGCTACCTCCCCAAGAATAACTGCCCTAATAGGTCTGAGAAAATAGTGGTAGTGAATTAAGACAATTAACCAAAAACCAGTTGACACAAAACAATATTTGCAACCCAGAAACAACTAGTTGTTTGTATGCACAGCCCACACTCACCTGCCAACCTCTCAGCTTTGCCAATCTATTAGGTTGAAGATGTGTAGAGAATTCAAAAATGGAGAAGCAAAAACAGGAAAAAAGGGCCAGAGTCCATGCTATGGCCATGTATCATGATACACTTAACTACCAAGCACTTCTTAAATTATGTCCTAAACTCCTAAACTAAACTACTCCAAAGATAAAGAGGTAGCTGCCTATGACCTTTCTCCTGTCCTTATATTTAATTTCCTTCTGTTTTTCTCTTTCCAATATTTTTCCTGCCAAGTTGCAGCATTAAAAGAGATTGAGGAAATCAATCCTAGGAAATAATTGAGGTGTAAACAATTATATTTGACTTAGGGATTCCTTGACACACAAATCTTAACTCTGTCAGAATATTCAGAACACATAGTCATTGCAGCAAAATACCTAGAGAAAGAATAAGAAACAGTTATTTAATTTAGTGTGTGAGCAATAGGCAGAATATATCAAGTTACAGGAGAGGATAGGTAAAAGAGAATGATGTCAGTAATTATGCAATACATATATAAGAATTTGGTACCTGGAAATGGAATAATGCCCAAACAAAAAATCTAAACTATGAGCCATTGGTTCTGGGACTGAAACTCTGTCTTTACTAAAAATACAAAAAATTAGCCAGGCTTGGTGGCGGGCGCCTGTAGTCCCAGCTACTCGGGAGGCTGAGGCAGGAGAATGGCGTGAACCCGGGAGGTGGACATTGCAGTGAGCCGAGATCACGCCACTGCACTCCAGCCTGGGCAACAGAGCAAGACTCCATCTCAAAAAAAAAAAAAAAAAGAAGAAGAAGAAGCTCAAAGGGCCTAGGGAGTCTGTTGGTGGGAGTGAAAAAAAATGGTCGTGGGAAGTTTGGCAACACTGACACCTGTGGTCATGTGGAAAATAGAAAGGATGCCTAATGAATCTGGGAATCGGTTCTGGGGAGATTGCCCCACAGAAGGTAGAAGGTGCCAGCTTGCTTCTAGATGCCTATGACCACAGACTAGAAAAGACTGACAGGCTTAAAAAGGAACTATTAAGCATTCCAGAAGATTTTAGAGAAAATATGAAGAATCTAGGACTTGCTTAGTTTGAAAGTAAAAATTATTCCTTATTCCCAGTCTCTCCCAGCAAAATATTCTCAGTGAAATAGCTTCAAAGCAAAGCTGAAATCCAGAGTGCCATCAGTAAAGCATGACTTCAAGTTAAAGATTTCAAGGCATGGCTGTAAGACCATTCCGAAATATTTAAGTCCTAGTAGGAAAGAATCTCTGGGGTATGCTTCACAGACCTTCTCAGTTAAGCAGCTGGACTTTTCAGAATCATCAGGGTATTATCCCATAACAGGTTCACGGTTGCCAAAGGTAGAGAAGGGGGTATCTAAGAAAGAAATATTGGTGTGGCTTTTGTCTAAAGAAGTTTATTATAAAATGATGCCGAACAAACTCATAAAGTTTATAAAACAATTTTTTTCACTTTAACTAAAAGAGACAGAAACAGTTTAGAATGAAAACACATTGCTGGATCCCAACCTTCTATGGGCAAGAAGCAGGCTGAGAAAACTACTCAGCTCTAAACACAGGTCACATAGAAAAGGAAGGATAATTTTGGCAGAACCAAAAGCCCGGAGGATTGAGCCACGAGCCATGGAAAAGTCTCCCCAAGGAGTAGGGCAGGGCCATAATCAAGGAACTGGCAAAATATGCTTGATTAGACTTTAGAACTGCTAAGGACTAGTGACTGCTATGTGCCTACCATTTCGTTCTGAAATGGAATGTCCATTGGGGTTCCCCTATCTCTGAGCTACCATTGTGTATTGTGGAGGTTAGTCTCTTGAGTTCATAGTTCTTCAGATAGAAAGTAACTGTACTCGATGAACTGTGCTTAAGGATCCTTATCTCTATCTTGCCTTAATTTAAAAGATGAGATCCTGGACTTTGAGCTGATAGCAGGAGGTGGCCAGATAGTAAATATTTTAGACTTGCAGGCCATAAGGCCTCTGTCACAATTATTCGACTCTACTATTACAGCATGAAAGCAGCACTAGACAACATATAAATTAAAAGGCATGTCTATGTTCCTGTAAAACGTTATGAAAATAAGTGGAAGCCCATAGTTTGCCAATCCCTGATGTAACGGGATGAGGTTTTAGTGATCTAGAACAAGTATATTTTGCATATGAGAGAAGTATAAATCATTCGTGACCAAAGGGTAAATTATAGAAAATTAAAGACGGCCACAAATCCTCTGACACTCCTCTCTGAGAAACTGGACAGACTCTGGAACTCCTTTGACCAATTAAATACAGCAGAAGTGGCATCATGTTAGTTTCCTCACCCCTAAGACACTGGCAGCTTCCTCTTCCTATCTCTCAAAACTTACTCTTGGAGCCCTGAGGCCTGAGTGTAAAGATTCCAACTACCAGCTGAAGAGACCTTATGGAGAGACCTTCAGCTCATCTGGCGAGGGAAAAGGGCCCAGCAGAGTCATTGTGGTCAAGATACCCGGCAGGTGAGTAACGCTGCCTTGAAATCTCTAGACCCTGGTAAGCTACCAGTTAAAAACTACCAAGTGACCTCATTCAACACAACATGGAGTAGAAGAATCACCCAGCCAAGATCTGTTCAAATTACTAAGCCACAAAGTCTTAAGAGATGTGAAAGCTGTTGTATTTTAAGTCACTAAGTTTTGGAGTTTTTTATTGCAAGAAATAAGTCAAACACATGTATACACATACATATACATCCACCCCAATATTAGGAACAGTTTAGGGATTGTGGGGAACTTAAGTTTGGAGTTTTCTCTTGTTTTGTTTTTCATGACTTACTATGTTCTTCAACTTTTAAAAAAACAAGCTTGAAAGTTTTCTTCCTGACCAAAACAAAGAAAAAAGTAATTGAGAGGAAATCTGGACTCAAATAAAGAGATATAACATGGTCAAAATGACCCTTAAGAGAGAGCAATTATTTTTTCAGCTCCAGCAGAAGGGCCAGGCAAGGAGGCTGACAAAGAAACTTTATCAGAGCCCAGAGGAAAGTTGATTAGGATCTGGCTGTGAAAATGGCGGGAAAGAGGTAGTTTTTTTTTTTAATGTTATCCAAGAGTAGATGAAACTTACTCCTCTCACCTTCTTCATTTCATCATAGAGATGTGAAAAGGTCACAAGAATTATACCCAATAGCAGCAAGACTGTATCTCCATTTTTCTGTCTCCATCCTAAATCTGAGCAAGGAATAAGTGAATATAAGCAAGGCACATTTTTGCATCTCATCAGACTCATAGAAACAATATTTGTGTTTTGTTTTTTTCAAAATTGATTTCTTTATTTTAATAGTCTTTAAACATTGGAGTGTCCCAAAAAGTAGGTCACCTGCTCTTGATCTAAAGAAGGCCCCACCTCCTGACCCCAGTTTACCATTGTTTCAAAACACAAATGCCAAACTGGAATTTCTTAGCAGACATTAAGTATTTCTGCTGTACATTATCAAAGTTCACAGGCTGCCTCCTAATACGTATTCTAGGGATATACTGACCATATCCAAAGTGACTTTTTTGGCAAGAGAGGCAAGTTGTTCTCTTCAGCAAAATGTCCAGGCAATCTGTACCCCACGTACTGTATTCTAATAAACCATCTAGGGCACTTGTCAAATAAGTAATTTGCATTCTAAGAGATTAAATTTTAAAGGCAAATATTTGACCCAATTTGCAACACCCCAATTTTTTCAAACGTTGCATCTCTTTTTTTTTTTCCATCTGCACTTGCACAACAACAATATGAAGAATCTGTACAACAGGTGGCTTATTGATATGCCCTGGAAGTTCAAATTTCTGCTTTAATTCTCCAGAAAGAGAGAGAGCAGACATCTTAATGAAGGACAGCAGAACACATAAGAAACTAATGAAAAGAACACGATGATGCCCCAGAGGTGTCTAATACATTGTGTATTTCATTTTAAATAAAATCTGATCATTTTTAGTTTCTTGTCAGATGTATATTCTAAGCTTGTCTTTCATTCCTGCTGCAGGAAATTCTTTACTGACACTGAATTGGAGAAATGATTATTTTTCCCCAACTCATGGCTTTGTGTTTCTGGAAAGATGATTTTCAGCATGCAAGTTGGATGCATCCAAAATCATACTGATGCAAGACCAGAGCTTCACAACTCTTTTTATAATTTCAGAATGAGTTTGCTGCCCAAAGGAAAACATAAAACACACCAAAGCTAGAGAAAGACGGTAACATCTCTAAATAGCTTAGAAATTTCTCCCTGCCTGATGAGTTGCTTTTATTAAAGAGTTTACTGTTTCTCCTCAAATTTGAATGGATGTTTCTAAAAATGGAATAAATGGTGAAAAGACAAGAGGAAAGAAGCTGACAAACTGTAACCACAATAGCATTCAGCCTCAACCAAAGGAATAGAACAATAAACCTGGAAAGATGTTATTTATATAATAATGATAGTAATAATTTATATAATTTATATAATGATATAATGATAGTAATAATTATATGATAGCCTACTACATGCCAGACACTACTGTAAACCCATAGTGTATAGTGACCCATTTAATCTTCACAACAGGAGTAACTTTTATTTCCATTCTGTAGGTAAGGAAATTGAGTCACAAAAAGGTTAAGCAAATTGCCCAAAGTGTGGAGCCAGGATTTAAACACAGGCAGCTCTGGCTCTAGATTCTAGGCCCTAACCACAGTACAATAGTGCCTAAAACATCCAGTTTAGGACAACTAAGAATATCCTGTGGATCTGGAAGAAATTGCTAGGACTGTTTCTTGGAAGAGTGAGGCCAGAGAGAGAGACAGAGAGAATAGATACTCCTTCCTTTCTTATCTCTTCAAAAGTCTTCACAGTTTCTTAAGGGCAGTGAAAAAAAAATGTTTCTCAGGGTAGGTTGGTGTCAGGGGAATGATAAAAACAGCAACACTACCCAAAGCTCCATAAATTACTGCTGGGAATTCCACAACAAAGCATGACAGTCTGGTTTCAACCATCTCTCCTGCTACTTTAATAGACCAAGATGTTTAGATGTATTTCTTTCAAGTTTTTATAGAAAAACTAGGGTTACAAACAATGTGTTTGCAGAAAAAAAAAAAAACAACGAAGAACATTCCTGCGTTTTGATGGTAAATGTATTTTTGGTTGATACAGGAATTTTTGTCATTGAGAGTCAATAAGGAACTCACGAAAGTTATTCAATGTCCAACAGATCCATTGAGTTATCATATAAAAGCTGTAACTCATCAAGACAAACTAAATGTGCCAAATTGTATACTCTACATGGGATTTTTGTCAACATGATGAACTTAGGAAGATGTCTGCCTGAATAGATATTGTTTTCATAGTTAAATAGAAATCACAAGTTACTTCAAAAGGAAAGCTGCTCACATCTGTCTTTTCACACGGCAAATGTTTTTTTTCCCAGGATTTCATTTGCTTCATTTATTATTTTTCTGGGAAGGAGAAATATGAAATCTGATAATGCATTGTTAGAAATAACATTTAATTCATTTTATTTAAAAGCTTTCAGTTACTTATTTCTCTGCCTGAACTCAACTTTATTAAAGAATTTTAAAGCCTGATGATATTTTATATACATATTATTCATTCACCCAGAACATGTTGACTAAGCATTTACTATGTGTCAGGAACAGTTCTAGGGAATGGAGTCCAAACTTATCTTAGAGATGCATAAAAGAGAGCCAGAGAAGGAAATTGCCAGCTACAGGTGAGGCCCAAAACTAGCAGAGATGCTTAACTTTAAAGGCAAGTTTTCTCCCTCTCCTGATACTGCCTCACAGGGGTGAGACTGTACTAGGTGCTGTGTGAGACATAGAGCATAAAATAAGAAAGTCTCAGGATACAAAATCAATGTACAAAAATCACAAGCATTCTTATACACCAACAACAGACAGAGAGCCAAATCATGAGTGAACTCCCATTCACAATTGCTTCAAAGAGAATAAAATACCTAGGAATCCGACGTACAAGGGATGTGAAGGACCTCTTCAAGGAGAACTACAAACCGCTGCTCAAGGAAATAAAAGAGGATACAAACAAATGGAAGAACATTCCATGCTCATGGGTAGGAAGAATCAATATCGTGAAAATGGCCATACTGCCCAAGGTAATTTACAGATTCAATGCCATCCCCATCAAGCTACCAATGCCTTTCTTCACAGAATTGGAAAAAACTACTTTAAAGTTCATGTGGAACCAAAAAAGAGCCCACATGCCAAGTCAATCCTAAGCCAAAAGAACAAAGCTGGAGGCATCACACTACCTGACTTCAAACTATACTACAAGGCTACAGTAACCAAAACAGCATGGTACTGGTACCAAAACAAAGATATAGATCAATGGAACAGAACAGAGCCCTCAGAAATAACACCGCATATCTACAACTATCTGATCTTTGACAAACCTGAGAAAAACAAGCAATGGGGAAAGGATTCCCTATTTAATAAATGGTGCTGGGAAAACTGGCTAGCCATATGTAAAAAGCTGAAACTGGATCCCTTCCTTACACCTTATACAAAAATCAATTCAAGATGGATTAAAGACTTAAACGTTAGACCTAAAACCATAAAAACCCTAGAAGAAAACCTAGGCATTACCATTCAGGACATAGGCATGGGCAAGGACTTCATGTCTAAAACACCAAAAGCAATGGCAACAAAAGACAAAATTGACAAATGTGATCTAATTAAACTAAAGAGCTTCTGCACAGCAAAATAAACTACCATCAGAGTGAACAGACAACCTACAAAATGGGAGAAAATTTTCGCAACCTACTCATCTGACAAAGGGCTAATATCCAGAATCTACAATGAACTCCAACAAATTTACAAGAAAAAAACAAACAACCCCATCAAAAAGTGGGCGAAGGACATGAACAGACACTTCTCAAAAGAAGACATTTATGCAGCCAAAAAACACATGAAAAAATGCTCATCATCACTGGCCATCAGAGAAATGCAAATCAAAACCACAATGAGATACCATCTCACACCAGTTAGAATGGCAATCATTAAAAAGTCAGGAAACAACAGGTGCTGGAGAGGATGTGGAGAAATAGGAACACTTTTACACTGTTGGTGGGACTGTAAACTAGTTCAACCATTGTGGAAGTCAGTGGGGCGATTCCTCAGGGATCTAGAACTAGAAATACCATTTGACCCAGCCATCCCATTCCTGGGTATATACCCAAAGGACTATAAATCATGCTGCTATAAAGAAACATGCACACGTATGTTTATTGCGGCATTATTCACAATAGCAAAGACTTGGAACCAACCCAAATGTCCAACAATGATAGACTGGATTAAGAAAATGTGGCACATATACACCATGGAATACTATGCAGCCATAAAAAATGATGAGTTCATGTCCTTTGTAGGGACATGGATGAAATTGGAAATCATCATTCTCAGTAAACTATCGCAAGAACAAAAAACCAAACACCGCATATTCTCACTCATAGGTGGGAATTGAACAATGAGAACACATGGACACAGGAAGGGGAACATCACACTCTGGGGACTGTTGTGGGGTGGGGGGAGGGGGGAGGGATAGCACTGGGAGATATACCTAATGCTAGATGACGAGTTAGTGGGTGCAGCGCACCAGCATGGCACATGTATACATATGTAACTAACCTGCACAGTGTGCACATGTACCCTAAAACTTAAAGTATAATAATAAAAGAAAAAAAAAACTTAAAAAAAAAAGACCAAGAAAAAAAAAAAGAATCTTCCTTCCAAAAATGTTTTAATGTAATTGTAGAAACAGAGGCCTATTAAACGTAAGACAACACCACCAGTGGTAAGTGCCATACAAGGCAATAATATACAGATAAATGGTTGTCTCACAGAGGTTGATCTCACTCATTCTACTTACTCCTCCTAGATCCTTAGAGAAGAAGAGAGCACCTGCTTGGGGCCAGGCACCATGCTAGACATATCACTTATGAGATAATTTTGCTTTCACAAGGATACTGAGAGGAAAATATTATTCTCAGTTTATGTTCAGGAAAATGAGACTCACAAGTAATGATACTATCTAACGTTGTATAGGTGGTGTCAGAACTGGAATTCGGCCCATGATTCTCTTACAGCCTAGCCCAAGATCTTTGCATTGCAGGCCCCACATCCCATTACAACACATACATGCCAACTGGCAGTTTCCTTTCCTGGTCATAGCAGACAGAAGTGGAGGTTGCAAAGCATGCTGGCAAGTGGTAGCTGCAGTGCACAGCATCTTTGGCTTCCTCTAGAAGCCACAGCAGTCTGGGAAATGGCATTAGGTGCCATGGAATACTGTAGCTGTCACTCTTCTTCTGCATGCTACAATGCACAAGGAAAAAGTAAGTTTTTTGTATTTGTGGTAATTTAAATTATTGTTCAGAAATTTTTGGTCTCCTCCCCCAGCTTCCATAGGAAGAGTATCTTCATTTCATTTAGCTTGGGCTTGGCCATGTGACTCACTTTGGCCAATTCTCATTGCAGAGTTGATGTTAGCAGATTTGACACAGAGATTTGAAATGTGTTCCTGTGGTTGGGCTTGTTCTTTTTGGCTTCCACCATCACCATGAGAAGAACATGATTCAGTTAGGGGAGGAGAGACACATAGACACCTGTCACCGGCCCCCCTTCCCACATCAACATGTAGCCAAGATCAAAAGTAAACAATGTTATTTTGAACCACTGAGATTTGGGGTGGTTTTTAAGCCACAAAAACTGATTGATTCCCTAATTTAGGCCAATAGTCTAACTCATTGAGATTTGCCTCTCAATAACTTCTTTCACTTCAGCCATTTTATGAAACTTTGACATTGTATCATAATTTGATAGTCTAAGCCAGGGATCCCCAGGACCAGTACCAGTCAGTGGGCTGCACAGCAGGAGGTAAGCAGAGGGTGAGTGAGCATTACCACTGAGCTCCACTGTCAGATAAGCAGCCACGTTAGAATCTCATAGGTGCCTGAACCCTATTGTGAACTGTGCATGCGAGGGTGCACTCCTTAGGAGAGTCTAACTGACGCCTCATGATCTGAGATGGAACAGTTTCATCCTGAAACCATCCCCCAACCCCCAGCACTTTGGGAGGCCAAGGCAGGAGGACTGCTTGAGCCAAAGAGTTCTGTGGAAAAATAGTCTTCCACGAAATCCATCCCTGGTGCCAAAAAGGTTGGGGAGTGCTGGTTTAAGGTACCTTAGGTTCTGGGACACTCTTCCCAGATACTAACCTCACCACAAAGGTTGTTTCAAAGTAAATAAAAGAGAGAAACACAGAGACAGAGACAGAGACAGAGAATAATCAAACTGAAGGTGAGGTCAGTGGTGGGTTTTGTGTATATGCTTATGCATAGTTTTAACAAAAAACTACAGCATCTATACAAATAATGTCGGCCTCATTTTTGTGATTATGCCCTTTTACCATTTTAGGAACCACATTTGCTGATATCTAACCTATTTATTATGTTCCTGTGTTGGAAACATTCAACTGATGTAGAGCTTTCTTTGTCTTAAGGAGCTCTTACATTCCTTGCATTTATAAAATCCAATTCTACCAGAGAACTCACTATTTAATTTTCCCTTGGTCCTTGGATGGATTTTAAAATAGAAAGAAAGTCACTTACTAGTCAATGCATGATGTAGGGATATCCAGGAAACATCTGGGACAATTATTTTCCTGCTTTGCCTCATTTTATTGTTCTTTTCCAATCTGATGTTATTTCTCCAAAATAGCTACAGAAAATTCCATTTTCCTCACAAAATGGTAAATAAGCTGAACCACGAAATGTACTTATTTTAATTTTTGCTACAATTTTGTTAGATTTGTCTATGTTTTCACTCCATATTATAATTTTTTAAATCAATGTACATAGAATAATTCATTAAGTGACACCTCTCCCTCCCTCTTTTGGATGGAGAACTACTTAAGTGCAGTCTTTATGTGACTTTCATGGTTAGAGCTCATGCTTGTAACTATGAAGATTTAAAAAATCACTTGGGAACCATCTTTTCCAATTATATCTTTGGTAATTATCTGATGAGCAAATATTACAAGACAGCAGAAGAACAAGAAAAACACGAAAACAAAAATTTGATGAAGATGTTAATGATGTGGGCCCTCTTCGCAGCCAGCCACCAGTTTCTCCTCATCTAACAGTGCACTATTTCCTTTTGTCAGCTATTCCTTGCCATTAATCCTTCTATGATTGCCAATATTTCACTCCAATCTTTCAACCTTGCCAGGCAACAATTGTAAGTGCTTTAATGCTTATATTGTACACAGGCAGTTCAACAGACCAATATCAGACTGATTTTTAGACAGATAGAACTCCATAGGAGTTATGCTATAGCAACTCTATATTTTCTTAAAAACTATGGGTGTTAAACTATAGGGAAGAAAAAGATAAAAATTTCCAGAATGCTCCCTCCTTATTCTTTACTTTTTCTTCATACCAAGCAGTACTTATCCTTTCTAAACTACAATATCTGGCTCATCATCAAAACAATTTCTAAACCCTAAAAAATTATAAAATTTGTATAAGATTCTTCAAAAAATTAAAACGTATTTAAAAAAAAAAAAAAAAAAACCCAGGCCAGGCACAGTAGCTCATGCCTATAATCCCAGCACTTTGAGAGGCCAAGGCAGGAGGATCACTTGAGCCAAGGAGTTCAAGACCAGCCTAGGCAACAAAGGAAGAAACCATGTCTACAAAAAATTGAAAAAATAAGCTGGGTGTGGTGGCATGTACCTATAGTCCCAGCTACATGGGAGGCTGGGGTAGGAAGGTCCGTTGAGCCCAGGGGTTTGAAGTTGCAGTGACCTATGATTGCACCACTGCACTCCAACGTGAGTGACAGAGTGAGACCCCATCTGCGAAAAAAATTTAAAAAAAAGCTCTTTTAAGAAGCACAAGGATTAAATGTTAAGAATACTTGCTTATCTATTCTGTTATATTGGGCTATTAAAAAATAAATATATACACACACACACATATATACACATACATATGTATATACGTATATGTGTGTGTGTATAGGTATGTATGTATGTATGTGTGTGTATATATATGTATGTATATATGTGTGTGTATATATGTATGTGTATATATGTGTGTGTATATATGTATGTATATGTGTGTGTATATATGTATCTATATATGTGTGTATATATGTATGTATATATGTATGTATATATATGTATATGTGTGTGTATATATGTATATACGTATGTATATATGTATGTATATATATACACACATACATATATACATACGTATATACATATATACACACACATATACATATATATATACACACATATATGTATATGTATATACATGTGTGTGTGTGTGTATGTGTGTGTGTGTGTGTGTTTGTTTTGAAGTCAAAAGACCTTGGCTGGCATCATGGATCTACTCAAAGTTTTAATCTTGGGCGAGGCACTTACCTTTTCTAAACATTAGTTTTCTCATTTATAATAAAAAGATAACATCAGTCATGACAAAATCAGAGAATTGCTGGGAATATGAAATTATAGAATGTCAGGATTAATGTAATTGATGTTTAAATGGTATCAGAAATTGTTAAAATCAGTTTAAAATAACAGTAAAAAATAAAAAGGAATAATGATTAACTTAAATTTAGTGATACTCAATGCTGAGATACCCCATTATTTTGACTATTTAATCCCAGCTTTGGGGATAGTTTAATAAGTGTACTGAGTCTCACTATAGGGTCTTAGAGTTCCTTCTCTGAAATATCTTTATAGGATACTGTGGTAGGCTGAGAAATGACCCTCAAAAAGATATCCATGTCCTAATCCCTGGAAGCTGTGACTGTTACCTTTATGACCAAAATTGGTCTTTGCAGATATGATTAAGTTAAATATATTGAGATAAGGAGATTATCCTGAATTATCTGGGTGGGTCCTACATGTAATCACAAGTATCCTTATAAGGAGGAGGCAAAGGGAGATTTTACACACACGGCAGAGGAACAGGCAATGTGACCATGGAGACAGAGCTGGGACTGATGCCTCCAAAAGCCAAGGAATGTTGACAGTCACCAGAAGCTAGAAGAGGCAAGAAATGAATTCTCCTCTAGAGTACCCAAATGGAGTGTGGCCCTGTTGACACCTTGATTTCAGCCCTGCGAAACTGATTGCAGACTTCTGACATCCAGTTCTATAAGAGAATAAATATCTGTTCTTTTAAGCCGCTAAATTTGTGGTAATTTTTTATAGGAGGCTTAGGAAACTAACACAGGCACTTTAGCCTACAGTTACTAGATATCCTTGGATAAGAAGCAAGACAGATATGCTTTATATAACACTTTACTTCATAATAAATAAGTTATGTGAAGCAACAGGCATAGAATAGCTGCTTATAAAATAGGCATCTTTGTTCTTACTTCCTGTTGCAAAGTACAAGCACACAGTACTGTCAAATGGCAACCTTTCTTTCAGAATGTACCGTATGCCAAATAACATTTAGATGTCTATTTTTGTACATCAACTTTATTTCACCTTCACAATAACCCTCTAATCACATTTTTCAGATGAGGATACCAAGAAACTGTAGGTTATATAACCTGCCCAGGTCGCACAGTAATTGCCAGAGCCAGGACTTCTCCTGCAGGCAGTCGGATCCAGAGTCCATTTTTTATCCATTAAACAACACTGTGTCTCAGTGTAACAGAACAAGACACAAACGTGATTTTCAAAGAAGTTACATTCAAGAAGCATCAAGACAAGAATGTAGATACACTATCAACTTATATATTATATAATATGCTCAGTTTTCTGCCAAAAAAAAATATATATATATACATACATACATACATATAGGCACGCTTCTTTTAGAAACTCATTCTGTCCAGAGCAATGTAACAGTGCAGTGACAGCTTCCAGCCACAAGACATGCTATGTGTCTGCCCTGCCTCTCCCAGGAAGTGCAAAGGCAGAGATAGTGGATCTGTCCAGAACTCCGCATGACATATTTTACAGCCCTGATTAATGTGGCCTGAAGCCTGTCCCTTGTCAGTGTGGTCAACTATGTCTTTCACTCATCCCATCAACAAATAGTTATTGAGTGTCAACCACATGAAGAGGACAGTCTTAGCGTTGCTGCCAGTGGTGCAAAGGTAAACGATACATACCTCTGGCCCTGAAGGAATTCACAGTGTAGCAAGAGATCCAGGCTGCCATTTTGTGTTTCCAAAGCACTTCATGACCCAGTACTGTTCCACTAGGGTCTCACTGCTTACCATAAACCACAGTGAGATACATTTTATTTGGTGCTGTTTGAATTATTATTTGTACGCATTGCTGAAGGTTTTATTTCCATCGTAAACAGAGTTTTTCCTTGGAATATTTAGCATGATATTTTAAGGATAGCTGTTCTAGGGCATTCTGTATTCTATAGTCTTATTTTGTATTCTGCCCTGTAGGTACTGAGCTATAAAAGTGACCCTGTGAAAATCAAAAATGCATGTCAGCCTATTCACATACCAGTCAAGAACTGAGTTCAGAATTCTGTTCCTCCTGAAAAACTTGGGGACATTAGAAGCATCCAAAACAGAATTTTCTCCTGCACTGTCTGTGAGTATTCAGATCCTGAGACAATAACAGAAACTTGCTGATTTTTTCCATGTAAAAGAGAGAAGACTGACATCTCAATTTTTTTCCCAGACATTCTGATTCCTTTTTCTCTCAGAGCAATGTCAGAAAACCTTGACCTGTTTTTTGAAACAGAATGCATCAGTCAAGATCTCGTTTCGCTTAATATGTAGAAACAGCCCATCCTGAGCCTGGAGAGAAGAAAAATGAATGTCACCTCTGTGGGTCATCTTTTACTCCAACTTTAGAAACATTACCTAAAAAGCTCTAAAATATTAAGAGAAATTAAGAAAATTATTGCATATAATTTTCATGAAATTTAAGAATTTGTTCTCTGAACTACGGTTCTAATTTTCAAAATATTAAAGCATATCAATTTGTGAATGCCAACACAAATGTTTTCACCTCACAAATACTGCACACACAAAAATAAACTTTTTAATTGGGAATTTTGTCATCTATACTGCACTGTAGACAAGTTCTAGAAGCAGCAGCCTTTCTTGGTGGACCACTGTGAATTTCTCATATTTAAGGACCAGTATTCACAGTTCCCTATTGTATGCCATGTGTGGATATACACCACAAATGAATAAAATGCAATTTGTGTATCTGTCCACAAAAACAATTACAGAACACTATATGAAAGGCACAGCGCTCAGTGACTTCCATATATAATAGTTCATTTATAAGATGACAGATATAGGCCTTTATTCAAATGCCTACAATGTGTCACACATCATTGTACGTGCTTTAAACATATTATTTTCAACTCCCCCAAATTATAGAGGTAGATATTATGATCCCCAGTTTACAGATGGAATTCTGGAAGGTTACATTGTAAGTATGTTGTAGGATTAGAACTTCATTCTATGATTCCAAAGCTCTTGCTTTCTCTCAGTATAAAACCATAGGGAAGATGTGACAAGCAGTGAATGGATCCTACAATATCTATCTAGAAGTCTCTTCAAAATTCACCAAAGTCCTACAAACCCAAATGAAACTCGTCGAGTGGAAGGGAAGGCAGTGGATAGACCAAAAGTTATGTATACTCAGGCAACACTAACTTTTTCTAAAACTACTTGGGACTGGTTGAGAGATATTGTGGTCAATGGGCCAGGATGCTACAAAACCCAAGTCAATTCAAAGCCTCATATACATAGCCACACAGGCCCATACACAGTCTGTACATTGGCACATATACACAAATATATTTATGGCCCATCCTTTTCAAAACTAGACTAGGAATAACCAGCAATAGAGATGACAGGAAATACATAAAATAAACCATAATTTCTTTCTCCACCCTAGGGCCCATAGCTATTTATCCTGGCAGAATCCCTTGAAACCTTGAACACAGAGGTACAGAAATCCTAATCTCCTAGTTTACCACAAACTACCACAGAAATGACTGGTGTTTTTCAGGGCCAGTAAGAGAAATACATGGTAACTCTTCTCATGTGAATTGTATGAAAATGAGTTCATTCACAACTTCTATGATGTATTCATACAACCTTTTTCCACTTCATCTATAAATAAAATTATCTATGTAAGAATATAGATATAAACATTCACTGAGGTACTAATGTATGCAAGAGTAACAGGCCCAGTATCTTGTCCATGATAGATGTTTAATAAATTAAAATAAAGATACAGTACCTGCAAGTACTTTACAATTCTTCAGTGATTCTCAGAATTTGCCTAAATTTCAAAGGCCTAATCAGCCTTATAAGAAAGAAGCAGTATATCAAAATATGATTTTGGAGGTGGTAGAAATGTTATGGGATCTCTGAGGTGTCGCTTTTTCTGGCCAGAAAACTCTGTGGCCACAGGGCCTTTGCCCAAGTTCTTGTCCTGTGTCCAGGAAGAATGAAGTACACAGACAAGTGAAGGGTGAAGAAGAGTTTTATTTAGTGTTAGAACAGCTCAGAGGAGTGAGTAGCTTCTGTCTGTAGGCAAGTTGTCCAGTTGAGTGTTTGGCTTTTAGCAGAGAGGCGGCCCTGGAAAGAGTGGCTTCTCTCCACAGGCAAGTCATTCCCACATCTCAGCAGGTCCCTGAAGCTATCAGCAGAGAGGGTATCCCCTCTCTTCCTGGCAGGTCCTCTTTGCAGCTCTTAGCAGAGAGTGTACTCTTCTCTGCAGCTGGTCATGGCATTGTCTCCAACTCTCAGCAGAGAGGGTACTCCTTTCTGCAGCTGGTCATCAGGTCCCATGTCTCCCTTTGTCCTCTGGCCGTCCTTTGCCCTGCTCTGACTGAGCCCAGGGCTTTTACGGACCTCAGAGGGGAGGAAGTACATGCTAATTGGTCCATGGGCTGCCATGGGTGTGCCCAGAACAGGCACCACGAGTCCCCATTCTGGTCCACGGGACTGGCAGCCTGTCCCCCAGCCTTCAGGGCCTCCCTGGCCCAAAGGTGGGGCCTTACTGAGGACCCACATGCCTGTGGTCCCAGTTACTTGGGAGGCTGAGAGAGGATCACTTGAGCTCAGGAGGTCAAGGGTGCATTGAGCCATGATTGCCACCACTGCACTCCAGCCTGGGTGGCAAAGCAAGACCCCGTCTCAAAAAATAAAAATTAAAAATTAAAAAATTACCTACTCTCACCAGGCATTTTACCCACATGCTCTCAAATTCTAACAGAAACCCTGTATGCTGATATTATTATGTCCATATTATAGCTGTTTAAATTAAGGCTAGAAAAATATATGTCCAGGTCACATGAACTGCTAAGAAACAAAGCCTGAATCTGATGACAGATCCAAGTGTATTTCAACACACTACATTGCCTCTCTACAAAAGGAGAGCTCACATTCTAATTATTTTGTAATACTGATCAACTTTACTATTATCATCCGACAAGAATTGAGGGCCTACTGGTCATCAACAAAACAGAGCACAGAGAAGCAGCTCCTTAAAAACACATAGACTAGTTGAACAGCATAAAGAGATGATTAATACTTCAAGACAACATATATTACTGCTTAAGAAGTAATACAAACAAGGGTTACTGGAGTTTTTGAGGACTATCATGATCAGAATAAAGGACATTAGAAAGACAATCTTATTAGCACCCATTCAAATGATGTTGTAGAACAGTTTCTTAACCTTGACAATATTGATATTTGGGGCTGATTAATTCTTTGTTGTAGGGGATGTACTGTGTATTGTAGGCTTAGCAGTATTCCTAGCCTCTACCTACTAAATTCCTGCGGCACTGCTCATTAATGACTATCAAAACTGTCCCCCAGATATTGCCAATGGTCCCATGGGAGAGCAAAATCATCCTAATTGAAAATGTGTTGTAGAAAAATATTTAAAGATATGCAAGTTTTTTTATAATATTATTTTAAATAAATATTACTTTAAGTAAAACATAGTTATAAAATGTACTATCTGGTCCAATTTCATTTTTTGAAAAAATATATACATTTATAAAGAATAGAACTTTAAGAATATCAAATGTTAAAGTGATCATCAGCCTAGTGGTGGGATCATCAGTAAGTTTTCTTCCTTCATGGTGTATTTTCTAGTTTTTTCCCATTTACTACAATAAATATAAATTTCTTTTGTAGTATATTATGACAGTTTAGGAGTTTTAGAAATTTATTTATTTTAAAAATCTGCATAGGAAAGCATCTAATTCTAGAAGATCAAAAATAAATAAAAAAAGAAAGAAAAATATTCCCTCATAAATTTAAACTCCAGGTTTGTGAGCCACACATATTTTCAATCTTAATTTCTTCTACCTTTGTGGTCTGGGGAATTCTAAGCTGAGAAATTATTATTATAATTAGAAAGAAAAAATTCATCCTGGATCAGTGGTGTCTCTGGATCATATAGCAAAAGAAAATGCCAAACTGCCGTGGAGGAATTCTTCCACATTCCAGGCTTTAAGGAAGGGGCATTTTCTACCAAAGGAAAAAAAAAAAGGCAACGTATCTTCAAAAATGAGTCACAATAACTTGGGGATAAATCCACCCTGAGAAAGAGTCAATAGACACAAACAGGAATGTGAAATAACTGAAAGAGAATATAAATGCAATATGTTTAAAGCAATAAGAGGACTTAATTGCACTACCCCAAAAGGTAAGACATTATGAAAATAGGTAATCAGTAACTATCTGAAAATCAATGGAGTTTGAGAAATGAAAACTATAGCTGAAAAGAAAATTAGAGAACTGAAAAATAAATCTGAGAATATTACTCTAGCCCAGAGACAGAAATCATAAAAAAAAGTTAAAAATCATGGAAAACCAACTAAGAGTCCAATATTTTTTAAATAAGAGTTTCCAAAAGGTAATTGAAAGAATAAGGAGAGACAATTTAAAAAGATAATAGTGAAAAATTCTCAGAATTGATTACATCCAAGAATTCTCAGCCTTAAGAAACCTAAGGTAAATAGGTTAAAAATCCACAGCCTCACATACAGCAGTGAATTGAAAAACTATGAAATAGACAACTAGATTGATACCTGATTTCACAAAAGCATGGTGAAGATTGGAAGTCAATGGGGAAATAACTTCAAAATGTTATGGAAAATAACTGACAATCAAGTATTTTATTCTCAGATATATATTATTCAACAGGGAGCACACATTTTTAAATATTGATACAAAGAGAATTCACAAGGAGTCACAATTAATTACTTTTCCTTAAAGAACTACTAAAAATGTAGTTTAGGAAGAAGGGAACTAAGCTAAAATGAATGCAAAATGCAAAGATGAGCAACAAAATGGGTAAATGTGCAGCTAAATCTAAACAGATACCACGGATATCTAAATCTAACAGATACTAAATCTAAACAGATATTAGTGTAGAACAATAATAAAAATAAATAGGGCCGGGCGCGGTGGCTCACGCCTGTAATCCCAGCACTTTGGGAGGCCGAGGCGGGCGGATCACGAGGTCAGGAGATCGACACCATCCCGGCTAAAAAACGGTGAAACCCCGTCTCTACTAAAAATACAAAAAATTAGCCGGGCGTAGTGGCGGGCGCCTGTAGTCCCAGCTACTTGGGAGGCTGAGGCAGGAGAATGGCGTGAACCCGGGAGGCGGAGCTTGCAGTGAGCCGAGATCCCGCCACTGCACTCCAGCCTGGGCGACAGAGCGAGACTCCGTCTCAAAAAAAAAAATAAATAAATAAATAAATAAATAATTTGAAGGCATACAAACAAGAGGGAATTAAAACAGTGGCTCATTTCTCTCTTAGAAAACAGATACAATTATTTATACCTAAAATGTCTGGAATTTGTTTTTAAATAAAGAAGAAATTACTTTATTTAAAATAAAGAATACGTGGAAGGGATGGGGGGGATGAAGAGGTATAGATGAAACAGGATGGGACTTTACAAGTAGTTATTGAAGCCAAGTGAAGGGTACATAATGTTTATTGTATGTTTCTCTATGCTTTTGTGAATAGATGTGAAATTCCATTAGGAAAAGTTTAAAATAAAATACTGAAAGCAATAATATATAAAATAGAAAGGAGAATTCAAGTTCAAGAATTTTCTGTCTGGATATGTTTTGGGAGGAGTAGAGAAGTACTGATTTCCTTTAGACTTTGTTAAATCAAGAATGGTATGTTACATATTTAAGGGTAATTACTAAGTAAATAAATATAAAATAGATAATTTTCAAAACAATAAAGGGGAAAAAAGAGAATAAAGAAGAGTAATCACTACAGTAGAAGGTAGGGATGCAGGGGATAGAAAAAAAAAACAAAAGAAAGATATAGAAAGTACAAAACAAGATGATAGAGATAAATAACACTAATAATTATAAATGCAAATAGATTAACCCAGTAAAATTTATAAGATTTGAGTATGGATTTTAAAAAGAAAATTCAGCTATAAGCCAGAGAGGCCATAGAAAGGTTGAAAACAAAAGGCAAATACTTAGCAGCATTAATATAATTTAGAATAGATTTTAAGGCAAAAACAAATTATTAGAGATACAATAGGACATAACACAGTGAGCAAAAAAGTTGTTTGAACCAAAAATTTAAATTATTCTTGATGTTTTGTTCTTTGACATTATAAATCCAAACCATCAGCAAATTATTCAGGCTCTGTCTTCAAAAGAAATTCCCAGAGCCAGAGCACTTTTCACTACCTCCATCTCTATCTATCATTTTGGTCCAAGTGATTATCTTTCCCCTCTGTTATGACAATAGCCCCCTAATGGTCTCCTACTACCACCCTTGTTCTCCTTCAGGCTGTTCCTAACACAGCAGCCAGAGTGATCCTGTTAAAACAAAAGCTATATCCTATCACTCCTCTGCTCAAAACCTCCCAATGGATTCTCATTTCACTCAAAATAAGAATCCAAAGGCATTCAGATAGCTCTCAAGGCCCTACTCAGTATATTTGTCCCATTACCTCTATGACTTGTCTCTTACTGCTTTCTGTCTCACTTATTCAAATCTAACCACACTGGCTCCTTGCTTTTCTTAGAACATGTCGTCCAGGGCATATGCGCTTGTGGTGCCTTCTACCTAGAATCTTCTTCCTCCAGGTATCTGCAGGACTAGCACTCTTACCTGCTTCAAGCCTTTGCTGAAATGTCTCCTTTCAAGTGTGAGGTCTTCACTGTTCTCCCTATTTAAAATTGCAAGTATCTCCTTCTAATATACTCTGTCACCATTCCCAGCAATTTTTCTACATTGTACACTTAACCCCATCTAAACAATACATATATATATAAGTAAACATATATGTACATGCATGTGTTTGTATGTATACAAACATATATGTACTTACATATGCACATGCATATGTATATATATATGCATATGTATATATATGCATATGTATATACACACATACATATATTTTATGTTGTTTGTTATCTTTCTTCCATCAGTAGAATGTAGGGCCCATGTAAACAGCTTTTTCTTTCTTTTGCTCATTGCTATATCCCTAGTCCCTTAAAAAAAAATGTGTGATACTCAATAGAATTTGTTAAGTGAATGAGGGAATTTGTTCACCTAGAAAATATAATTCTTTTGAGCTTATATGCACGTAACAACAAAGTCATTAAATATTCAGGGTAAAATTAAAAAGAATTACAAAGAGGAAATATTTGGAAATTTTAAAACATAGCTCAAAGAAAGACATCATAATGAGTGGTAGAAAAAATTAGAGCCAGGTAAGAGTGAAATATATTAACATTGGTAACAAACACATAGTCATCTGATTTATAACAAAGGTACCAATTCAACTCAGTTAGAAAGGGTGGTATTTCCAATAAATGGTGCTGAAGCAGTAAGCTATAATTATAAATATTATAATCATAGACAAAAATTAAATTGGAAATAGTTATACACCTAAAAGCCAAAACGATCACATTTCTAAGAGAAACATAAAAGTATATACTCTTGATTTGGAGACAGATAAAAATTTCTTAAGACATAAAATGTACTAATCATAAAAGAAAAAATTGATACATTTGACTTCATTAAATAAAGAACATCTGTTCACCAAAAGATATCATTAAGAAGGTAAAAAAAGACTAACTGCATACTGGGGAGAATACTTCCATCAAACAAAGAAGTTGTATCCTACAAATCAATTATATTTTTACCCATAATGATATTTTCAATTATCTAAAATGCAGAAAATACAATTTTAAAACAGGGGAAAAATTTCAGTAAACACTCTACAGGAAAGAATATCAATACACTATTTAGCCAATAAACATATGAAATGGTACTCAAATGCCATTAGTAATCAAAGAAATGCAAATGAAAATGACAAGGTGATTTCACATACCCACCAAAATGTCTAAATTTTAAAAGACTGACATCACCCAGTGTTGGCAAGGATGAAAAACAGCTGTAACATTCTTTGATTGTGGGATGAAATGTAAATTGGTATAAGTACTTTGAAAAACAGTTTGGCAGTATCTCTTAACTAAAACTAAACATTTATGTATTCTCTCCCTCCAGCAATTCTGCTTTTGAGTATATGCCCAAGGGAAACAAATAAAACAGTGTGGTTGCCTATATAGAAATATCTCTGAAAATCTATTGACAAATTAGCAGAATTAATAATAGAGTATGGCGTATTTTATGGATTCAAGATCATAATCAAAAAGCAAATATATTTCTATCATGAACAAATGCTTTAAAAAGTACTTAAAAGCTACCATTTACAATAAAACATATCTAAAATATTAGTTTTTATGTATCCAATATAAACATTATTAAGTAACTATAAATAAATCTGAACATGTGAGGAAAGTATAAAAACTTCATTACTGAAGAAGGTAAATAAGACCTAAATTAATTGAAAAATATGCCATATCAAAAATGACACTTAAATATGGCCAGTCTCTGCCAACCAATCTATAGATTCAAAGCTACAAATTCAAAAGACATGGAATACTATGCAGCCATAAAAAATGATGAGTTCATGTCCTTTGTAGGGACATGGATGAAATTGGAAATCATCATTCTCAGTAAACTATCGCAAGAACAAAAAACCAAACACCGCATATTCTCACTCACAGGTGGGAATTGAACAATGAGATCGCATGGACACAGGAAGGGGAATATCACACTCTGGGGACTGTGGTGGGGAGGGGGGAGGGGGGAGGGATAGCATTGGGAGATATACCTAATGCTAGATGACGAGTTAGTGGGTGCAGCGCACCAGCATAGCACATGTATACATATGTAACTAACCTGCACAATGTGCACATGTACCCTAAAACTTAAAGTATAATTAAAAAAAAAAAAAAAAAGACTCTTTCCCAAAGTTTGGTTACCTATGGCTAAAATTCATCAGAGGAAAAGGTCAAGACTAGTAGGCAAGACAATTTTGAAGAGAAGTAATTAAAAGGCCATCACCCACAACATAATAAAGTGTTCCATAATGCTACATACAGTAAGTTAAACAGTATAGCATCAGCACAGTAATAACTTCCAATATACTCATAGATCTGGTTTCAAGCTGTCTTTTATAAACATATTAAATAAGATTCATTCATAGCTAAGTAATATCTCAATAAACACACAACTTCATCAGTAATCAGTAAAATACAAATGAAGGAGGAACTATTTTAAACCCATTTGGTTGGGGAAAATTTGTTAATTCAATAACCCAAATCAGTACCAGAGATGTTAGGAAATGTTTTCATTTATACACAAATGCTGAGGTGCAAAAATTAATACAATTTGCTTTATAAAGCAATTTGACAATAGCTATAAAAGTTGAATGCGGGCATATCCTATGAATCAACAATTCCACTCTTGCACATACCCACAAGATGAGGAAAACACAGATGTTCATTGGAAGACTATTGGCAAAATGTGGAAACAATCTAACTGTCCCTCAGCAGAAAAACATTTGAATAAACTGGCATGTCTATATAATGAATATTATGCAGTAATTTAAATGAATGCAGTATCTACATGGATAAATCTTTAAAAATAATGTTAAGAGTGAATAAAAGAACACTGCAAAAAAGATCTACACTGTTTATGTCAATTTTTTAAACCTGTAAAATAAAGCAAATATTGCTTTGAGATGCGTAAATATATACAATAAATACTAAATAACATTCATAGGAATGCTATACATCAAATTCAGGAGAGAGGCTAACCTGAGAAGACAAGGTCAAGAAGGCATGGAATGGCTGGGCTTTAGTCATATGATGTATTTTTTTATCTAAAAAAAGAGAAATATTAAGCAAATTTGGCAAAAAAAGTATGTAATCTTCATAATGAATACATGGATTGCTATGTAACTTTCTATAGGTCTCCATTATGTTTGAAATATCTTATAATTTAAATATTTTGAGTAGTAGCTAGAATCATCTTTGGCTTAAAAAAATGTGTTTCTCATCAGTAGCTATTCCACTGACAATTATATAGTGCTTTATCAAAATTTCAAAGGGAAACAGTTTATTCTCTTGTCTGTCAAACTAACGCTTGTGTATTTGAATCCTATTTTGGATCCCAGGAATCTGCACCCTCTCTCTGCCTGACCACTCAATCTTCCCCTCTTGTATCAGATTTCTGTGTTTCATTCATTGATGTGAGAACATGACAAGAGCAGCCAGATCTTAAATTCGCTTCTTAACAACAAAGCAAAATGTGTTACCTTGTTGTTACACAAAACACATTGTTGCTTTGTTTTCTTAAATAAAGCACTGAATCCATTTAGGAAATTAAAGCATGATGAGTCATATATTCACAATCACGCTAAGTATTCCTATACAAGACTTCTACTCCAAGTATCCTCCTAAACTCCAATCTTTTCACCAGCTGCTGTTAAAGATAATCTTTGCTTCCTTTTTAACAGGAAATAAAAGGTTAAAAAAAAAATAACACCCAGGTGCTCACTGCTGTCTTCACATAGCATCACCTAGATGCTAATTCTGTTTTAGCTTAGAAACCAATCTTTCTAAACTGAGAGTTTTCTAAGATTGTGACAGTCATTGAGTTAAATATTTAACCTGTTTGGCACTAAGGAATTACTACTAACTACAAAAAAAGGAAAATTTACTATTTGTCAAATGAGGCAATAAAGGGTCCAAATTCCTAACAACAGATTTGGATTAGGAAAATACCGAATAATAGATCTGAACCTGATCAGCCATAAGTGACCTACTCAAGAGAAACAAATGTGTATTTAAAATTTCATCATATTTCTATATTTAACAGAAAATCAGCTTAGCAGTTAATATTATCAATGGGGGATATGTGAGTAAAGAAAAGAAATAAAACAGATACATTGAACTGGGTTTCTTATTACATCAACTTAAAGCATTTATTTAAATTTTGTCTACCCAGTATAACCAAATTGATTATTTTAATTAAACAACTTATCAAAAAATTAAAAGTCGGCAAAATGCTTGAATTAACTTATTGTTTGTGTGGAATTGCTTAAGTTTTTTTTCCCTTTTTCTTTTAAACACTAAACACTGAATAGAACAAATTGACAGCACTGTAGATGAACAAAACATTTGCCTTTCCTTGTAGCAGGCTGATATAGTATGATACAGTATGACGTATGTTTGCTTATGTTCTCTATTAGCTTTCTAAATCAGCTCAGGATGTGCATTTTTGGATGAGTGTCCCATATTAAAATCTCTCTTTTTGTACTACATAACTTCCAAAGGGCTTGCACAACCCATCAAATACCAACACCTTTCATAAAAATTCAATTTCATAAAAACAAACAAAAAAACAACAAAGCCTTCAGCACTTGCCCCTTAGACCTTTGCTGAATAAAAATATGGCCTTAAAAATCTGTTATACCTGTTTACTACCTAAACCTGACTAATCCACAAATTATACAATTCAGTTTTTAGATTTTTAAAAGTAATTATCCAACTGGTAAATTGGGTAAAAAGCAAGAATTATTATAGCAAGGCCAGAAGCTGCTTTAAAAATAAAGCTTTCTAAGCTAAGTGAAATGCTGACTGTATAATATGTATGGAAAAGAATTGTCAGAGAATAATTATATTTTCTAATAGTTTTGATTTGGATTTACATTTATAAATCAATAATAGCTACTGGATATGTTCCAACATTGTGCTGGTGTGGTTTTGTTGTACCCTTCATAATTGCTAGAGGAACTTATACCTGGCAATCCACCTTCATTGCTCTGTATTATTATGCAAAAATCAATACACTTTCTCCAAAATGTTTTTCTTTTACTTAAATTCCCCAGCTAATACAAACATAACTTTACCCGATAAAGGAGATGTTAATGAATTTGTTTTTTCTGGTTTTGCAATCCACTGAAATCCCTGCATTTCATTTCATTGTCTAAAACTGTTCACTGCTATGATTCCTGTAAATAGAAAGCAAAGAACACATTTTAAAAATGTGCTTAACCTTGAATGAAATACTGAAAGCATATCCTTCATTTTTGGTATTAAGAGAAATTAGGAGGGGAGAGAGAAAGGAAAGAAACACAGTTGTAATTACTTGAATACCTATATTCTAAACAAATTAAAATAAGGCATTTACCTGAAGTTCACTCATAGGAACTTAATATACTTACTACCTCTATTCCTTTATCTCTTTTTTATTTCCTCTGATTTAGAATTGACTTAATTTATAAGAAGATCAGCAAGCATTTGGCCAAGAAATTAGGCTGCAGGAAAATTTTCTTAGGTCTATAAAAGATTCTCTACAAGTTGAGGCAGTGGACAGACACACATAACAAGACAACTAGAAAAATAAGACAATTTAGGAAAGAAATCAAATAATGAGAGGCACGATGTATAATGAGGATTAAAATAAATCTTGCATGTAAAACATTCAACCTTTGTTATATAGTTAAGTGCTCAATAAATAGCTTAATGGAATGCAAATCAGAGATCAGGTCTAAAAAGGTCAATTTGGGACTTAAATTTAAAAATTTGAACATCTCCTAAATTCTCAACAGAGAGTCTAGAGAGATTAACATCAGAGGGCTGGGAAGTAATCAAGTTTAAACTGTATCAAAGAAAAAAAGCAAGAAGTCAAGCCAGTGAAGAAAATAGAAGAATAGAAAAAAATAATTCTTGCCTTTCATGTCCTTGAATAAAATGGATGTGATGGGATAATGATAGACTTTTTAATTTTATTTCTGGGAATTAAAATGCAATGTGGTGAGAGACTGATGGGTCGGCAATGGAGTTTTAATTGGAAAATACCAAAAGCCACTCAGAATGGATGCGGAAATTTGAAGTCCTCAAACGTCTACTCATGGGTGAAACTATGTTAAAAATCAAATGGGATAGCCAAGAATACCAAGAACCATGTAAATTTTGGTGGGAAAATTTGGAACAAAGATTAAGAGGAGGAACCAATTACAGTGAAGATGTATTATCTTGAGCTGAAATACAGGAAGATATCTGACTTTCCTAGCTAGCCACATAAAATTGAAAAAAAAAAAAACAACACAGACTGGCTTAGGTCCATTTAGCCTGTTGAAGCAGGAAGTAGAGATTGCATAGGTTTGTGACTACTCAATTAAAACATGGCACACCGATTATCTAGTCAATTAAATTAGCAATTATTCCTTCCTATAGAATAGTTGGAAAATTGTGGAAAGAGGCAAGCCTGGTGTGGGGAAAAGGACAGACGACATCAGGATTACTGTCTCACACTTGTCCCGTCAGCCAACTATTATCTAGGATGATTTAAGTGTTCAAGAAGAAGAACCATAGCCTCACAACTACTTAACCTTCTCAACTTTCAACTCCAACCATCTTAACTTACTTCCATATCAGCGACCCTTTTGCCAGTGTCACATGTTTAAGAAGTCATCAACAGGAATATTCCACCTTTGAAATTCCTAACACCAATCATTTTCTCTGTGAACCTCCTGCCCTTGCTCTCAGCTTGTGCACTCCGTCATGCTTACACTAGCTCTCAATCTCTCCCTCCCTCCCTCCTTCTCTCTTCTCTTCTCTCTCTCTGTGTCTCTTTCTTCCCATCCCAAGATAACTATTCTTCAACTGTATTCACCTCTTCCAGATCCTTAACCATTTCATTTAATCTATAAACTGGCACTAGACAAAGTGATAGAGAACAGAGGTAGTGATGAGGAACAAGGATCTAAATAGCCAACACTGTCCCATAGGTACCACAAAGTCAATATGTATAAAATCAAAGTCATTATTTTCTCCCTTAACTTGCTTCTCATCCTGGTTTTTCTATCAGTGCTATGTTCTACCATCAATTTCATAGTCTATGGCAGAAACCTTAATGAAGAGCTTCTCAGCCTTGGCACCATTGACAGTTTGGGCTGGATAATTTTTACTGTAGGGATTGAACTTGTCTCCAGCACACTAGCTGCCAGTAACACTACCCCATCCTCTAGTTGTGACAACCAAGATGTCTCCATTCATTGCCAAATATCCACTGAGGTTGTGGGATAGGAATCATCATCAGCTAAGAACCATTGTCTTAAAACCATCCTTTTTTCTTCTGCCTTGTATATGCGCTATTGCCATCAATGAGCCCCAATTTGTATTTTCTCTAATAATAATAGAAACCATTTATTGAATAAATCCTACATGTTGGGCACCGTGTCGGGTCTTTTAAATAGAGTATCTCATAAATTTCTACATTCTAAGAATGTTGGAGTGTTTATCGTGCCCATTTTAAATATGAGGAAACAGCTTTGGAGGGGTTCAGTCACTCGCTCAAGGCCACACAGTTAATTTTTAACAAAGAAAGAATTTGAACTCAGGTCTGTTCCACTTGGGAGCCTGGGCAATTTCCCTCCATACTGCACTGACTCCTTTTTATCTCCCACTCTCTTCCTTTCTCTTCTCACAGCCTTGGTTCATGATTTTATTCTTTCTTGCCCAACCAGTATCCACAGAATATTAACCTGGCTCCCTATTTCTAGGCACAAAATTGCACAGCAATCTTTATAACCTGCAGGTCAGACCATGCCCTTCACTCTCTGGCCCATCTCTCTCACCTCATCTCTTCCACTTTCACCTGTGCCCTTTACTGCAGACATGTAGGTCTTTCTTTTCCTAACAAGTTAGGCTTCTTCTTGCTTCCATGTCTACCCATACTGTTCAAAAAAGCCTTCCCCCACAAAGCCTCCTCCCATTGTCCTAACCCATCTGTCTCTCGAATCTCAATTGCCTTGTAAATTAGCAACCAAGTATTTATTATACTAGTGGTTCACAGTCTTATCAGAATCCTCCCTGAGAGACAATCAAGAACACAGGCTCACTGAAGTAGGGGAAGTCCTGGATTTTTGTATTTTTACCAGTTCTCCAGGTGTTTCTGATACTGACCAAATTTTGAGAACCACTGTACTGTATTATTTTAAATTGTTCACAAGTGGTTTCATATAAGCACATATTTTCTCCAACATTATTTGAAATTCTTAAGGAGGAAAAGGATTTATCCTTTGTTATCTCTCTTCCTATGCCACTATACATTTCTGTCATCAATATTATTCATCAATGATGAAAACTGGAATTCTCTTGTATCAGCTCTCTGCAATACCCTGATTCTGGATAAATTAGGTTGAGGGAGGATACAAATTGCGGAGGGGTAAGAGAAGTAACTTACAGTGAGTGATCAGTTATATATCACCTTGTTATTAATTCTATGGTATACTTGCATATATTATGCTGTTTTCTGTTTGATACTTTTAAGAGTTTGCTCTTTGGACATTTTGCCTCTGTGTCAATTACAATGCTAACATATAGATATGCATTAATATTTTCACATGTCACAGATACTTTATTATACATCTAAAAACACATTTTACTCAATACTATAAAGTCAATTTTTAATGTAAAATAAATGTTACTGTCAAATAAAATCACAAAATTTCATAGAGGTTTTACCTTTCACTCAGCCAGTTAATATCACAGTGAACTCTTAACAAAAAATGTTACAATATTGGAAATCTATTGATTTGAAATTAGTCAACAACCTGGTAGAATGCTGTGTACTGTGTGGGCACATAAATGTTTATGGAACACTTCCCACAGTAGTTTGTAATCTAATCACAGAACTACAGGGAGAGTGATAAAATGTCAGAGGTCATTTAGTTAACCCAACCTCCAGAGAAAGGTGCATCTAAAACATTTCTGTCAGACTGTCATATAGCTAATGCATAAATTCTCCAAGGAAGAAGAATCAACAAGTCCCTTGATAACCTGTCCCAGTTCCTTACAACACAGCTTTTGGTATATTTCTCCTCTCAGAATCTAGGGCCTTGGCTACTCAAAGTGTAGTCCTTGACTTGGGAGCCTGCCACAAATGAAGACACTCAAGCCCCACCCCAGAGCTACTACATCAGAAACTAAATTTTAATAAAACCTCCAGGCAGTTTATGTGCACTTTAAAGTTCAAGATTCTCTGCTCTAATGCACTGGGCTAAGAATCTAAATAGGAAACAAGTGTTTAAAAGCCATGAACTAGACTTAGTAAGCATTGAACCAAAGTGCAGAACATAATTTAACTGTTCTGACTATATTAGAGGTTTCAGGAATAATCAATCAATCCATAAGGATTTGTTGCTGTTTATACTATACTACTCAAGCACAGGCATTAAATTCTGCCTAACACTCCCCAAGACCAGAGGAAAGGTTGTCCATGGCAGATGAGGTCATGGAGAGGGTATTTCCTGACTTGTTTGCAAAAGGATAAGAAATTAGCTTTTTCAATGTTTGGACATAAACTAAAGCAGATGTTACAACACATGAAATTATTTACGACAGGAACACCTTACAGTAGCAAATAAAATATTCTCGAGAAAATGTCAAGTTCCTATTAACTCAATACCAATTCTTAAATCTTAAAAAAATCACTTCAAAGATTGTTACTGAAAGTAACAATGACTTTTCAGTGATCAAAAGCTATAGTATTTTCCCAACACTATAGATTTAAATTTCTTTTCCAAAATATTTTATCTCTCAGAGTTATTGAAAAATCTATAAACAAGAATATATCCAAGAGCAAGATGATTGACTACAGGTGCCTGGTACCCATGCCAACACAGAAAAATAAAGAAACAATGAATAAGCAACTAAAATTCAAATAGAGTTTCTGAAGGAGAGCACTAGAGTTCAGCAAGGCTGTGGAGAAATCCCCACAGAGCACAGAAACCCAGTATGGCAGCACAGAGAAAAGAATAAAACATCCTGCCTCTACCACCTTGTCTCCTCCACTGGGATCAGCTCAGAGCCAAGAAGGACATTCCCTTGCAGAGAAAAGGTAAGCAGGAGGTCCCCAGCAGCCCCTGTTTCCACTGAAGACACCTGCAGTTCTTGCTGCAAGAGAATCCCACTAGTCCTTACAGGCCCTGAGCCCAGTTTGGGAAGATGTCTGGAATTCACATGGCTACATTGCTGCAAAACAAGAGCACATGTTGTGTACCCTCTGTCTCCGTGACTCAAGCTGCTACAGCACAGTGCCATCTTGAAAGCAGAGCCACTGCTAGACTATGCCCTACTCTGGGCACCACCAGCCACTACATCTCTCTATCCTCAAGGGTCCTCCATCATACTACCATGCTCACACAAATGGGTGCAGCACCATGATCGCAGCTACTCAGACTCAGTCTGTCCATTTGTTCAAGCAATCATTTGTTTTAAAAATATCATTTTAAGCACTTTTATCCCATGAAGTTTGCTGGCCTCTGGGGATACAAATGGTGAGAAAAAAACCCACAGAGCTTAAAGACTGGTGGGGAACCCATGGAGCATAAGTCATTAATCAACTAATTCCAATAATAATTCTGATGACTACCACAAAAACATTTTTATTGTACCATGGATGCATAGAATTTAATAATGTGACCTCAATCTGTTGAATCTGCCATTTTGGGCCACGAAGTGACCATGACAATGAAGGCTATGCAAGGCAGAGCTACAAGGTCGAGCCTGGATTCCCAAGGCCTTCTTAGGTTAGAAACCTGCTCTGTGGGGCAGAGTCAGCACACAACTCTGGACTCTTTCCCTCCCAGTGTTGACATCAGAGAGAAACAAACTTCTGTCTCGTTCAAGCCACTGTCATGAGAAGTTTTAGTCACAGCCCAAACTAATCTTAGCCAATACAGATTTTTACTAAGACATGAAAGGAACATGAGCCTCCTTGCCTTCCTCCCAATTCCTGTTAGGTAATGATTCTGACATCTGTTTTGTTTTTTTTCTCTGAGACTCATGAGCACAATGCACTGATCAGCATTAAGTCATTAATCAACTAATTCCAATAATAATTCTGATGACTACAACACAAAAAAATTTTATTGTACCATGGATGCATAGAATTTAATAATGTGACCTCAGTCTGTTGAATCTGGATGGCTTCTTGAGGAAGAGACATTTGACTGGTATCTGAGAGTTGATGAGAAGTGGCAAAGGCTAAAAGCATTCTAGTCCAAATGTACAGCACATGCAAAGGTCCTGAGGTGGCAGAGCAAGTGGCATAATTAAAGAACAGAAACAAGGTCAGGGTGGTTAGAGTGACATGAATGCTAACAAAAGGCGAGGCTATAGGGATAGAGAGAGACCTGATTATGAAGGACATTGGAAAGATGTTAACCTAAGAACAGCTAGAAATCTATCAAATGGTTTTAACATAAAATGGCAGGAAGGTGGGCAGGGGAGGAGCCCAATACCATTTGTTTTACATTTTCATGAGGGAAGAAGTTTGTCTCATTCCCCACTGTATCCCTTGCTCATAACAGGCACTAAACATATTTGTGAGGTTAATTAATACATGAACAGATAACTTTATGAGTATTATTTTGGCTATAGTGTGGAGAATACTGATAAGAGAGGAGAGCAAGGGGGTACAAGGGAGGCCATTTAAGAGAACTAATTAGAAGGACTTGGTGATGGATTAAATATAGCCAGGGAGAGCAGATGATATCTGGATAGCTCCTAGGTTTCTGGCGTAAGCCACTGGGCAGATGACAGCCCCATTCATTGAGAATGGGAAAAGAGCCAAGTGTGAGAAGGAAGGTCACATTATGTCACCAAAAGTAGTTTCCATTTATATAACCACAATCTGTGAATTCTGTCCACAAAGGTAGTAGGAAATAATGAAAATACATCCAAACAAGCCCAAAGTGTAAATCTGGAATGAGAAGTAGCCATAGGTCTCCTGACGACCCTGTTCAGTTCCTTCAGTTTTGAGAGTCATGACTAGAAGTTAAAATAAAATCTCCCTGTGGACACTTATTCTCAGCATTTGTGCAAAGGTGATACAGGGCTCAAATAAATCTGAAAAGTCAGTCTGTGTTGATTGGATATATATGGGAAGTAAAGTTATTCAAAGTAATTTGGCTTGGTAACAGTAGAGGTGATGAGGGCTGAAGGTATATGAAAGAGTCTCAGGCTTTTTAAAAAAATAAATCACCAACTAGTAGACTTATCACCTGAGTGAGCTGGTGGCCTTTTTGAGAAACTGCTGAATTACCAGCAGGGTTATGGTTCATTATACCCCTTTCCACCACCCCTCATTCCTCCCACAACAACTACCAAAATCAGAGAACTGACAGAGTGCCCAAACAATGGGGTTGAACAATTTATTTATTTTGTATTTTTTAAAGACAATATGAATCATTTTATTTTGAACTAATGTAGATTCACAGGAAATTTCAAAAAAAAGTGTACAAGGAGATCCTGTGTACCTTTTATTCAGTTTCCCCCAAACACATCAATTTTCATTACTGTAGAACACCATTAAAACCAGGAAATGGGTATCAGTATAGTCCTTACCTTTCATTTTTCAACATTGGCTTACTTGTGTAACTTCCACAGTACATTATATTCATCTCTAGGGAACAGATCATTTTTCTTTGCCCTTGTTTTTTTTTAACTTTTAATTCAGATTTAGGGAGTACATGTGCTGGGTTTTTTACCTGGGTATATTGCATGATGCTGAGGTTTGGGGTATGAATGATCCTATCACTCAGGTACTCAGCAAGGGCAAGTTTTTCAGCCCTTGCCCACTCTTCTCCTTCCTTCCTCTAGTAGTCCCCAGTTTCTATTGTTCCCATCTTTATGTCCACATGTACCCAAAGTTTAGCTCCCACACATAAGTGAGAATATGTGGTATTTTGTTTTCTTGAATGATTTATTATATCTCTTCAGTTTCATTTGGTCTGAGACACCATGACTCTTAGACTTGATAATATAGTTTACACCAAGGAGAAAAACTTATGACCTAGTAATCCAGTAGACATAAAATGAATTACTTCTATAGGCTTGGAGATTATTTATGTGCTTTAAAATTATAAGTCCACAATCCATATATCTAGGAATTCATCTAAAGTAAGAGATGATGTTCAAACATCTTTACCACTGGCATCCTGTTTTATCCTTCTATAGGACAGCAATTTTCCAAAACTAAAATCTCATGGTTTCCCTGAGGTAACAATGATTGACAACATTTTACACTACAGATGGCTGAGCAGATGTGCACATAGGTATGGTACCTCACTGCAGACAACCCAGCCAATCAGAGAAGAGCTGAGAATTACACTCTGAAGCAATTATGAATTCTATCCAGGGAGATCAGAGATCCAACTGGTATGGAATGGTCCCATTTTCAGCTACCTTTGAATTCAGAATTAAACGAGTTTTAAGCCTGATCATGTATTATCCATATCCACAACTAATATTCCCACCATGAATTATACAGGCAACTTCAAAAAATTCTTTGCTTAAACTAAGGAGTTAAGAGCACAGTCCTTGGAGATAAACAGACCTTTGTTGAATCTCTGCTCTACCTGTGAAAATGTAGGCAAATTGCTTATCCTCTCTAAGGTTCAGGTGCCTGACCTAGAATAGGATGTAATATTGCCTACTTTGTTGGAATACTGTAAGTATATATGAGGCAAAGTGCTAAGCAAAGTGTTTGGCATATACCAACTACCAAAGGAGAATTAGTAATTTTTAGAATTGCATACATCAATGGCCTGCAAATTATGGCACAAAAAGCCTTCATTGTTTCCCTGGATCAGAAGTAATAAGGCACAACATAATGAATCTTGAAAATTCCTACCAAAACAGAGGATGTAATTTGATAATTTAAGAGGTATAGTCTAAAACATGTAGCCGTAAGAATGATATTTCTCTGAATTCTGTTTTATCTTTTTAAAAAATGACAGATTGTCATATTCCACAATGTATCATGCATATTTTGAGATTTAAATTAACTCCCTGTCCTCTAGAAATATATAATATAGTAATTCCTATACTTCTTGGTGAAATGCTGTGCCTGCTTCTAAGAAGCATAGTGAAGAAGGAAGAACATGTTATGGCTTGGAGGCTTGAGGTTTGGTTCTGCCTCTTACATGGATAAGTAACTTACCTCTCTAGGCCTTAGTTTTCCCATACGTAGAGTTGGAAGGGAAATATATCCCTCACAGGGTTTGCTTCCACTTCCCTCTCCCACCCTCCCCACCCCCACCCCATTCTACTACTTTCAGTCTTATCACATCCCTAAAGGTGTAATAAGATACTGTTGGCCAGGCACGGTGGCTCACACCTGTAATCCCAGTATTTTGAGAGGCTGAGGCGGGTGGATCACCTGAGGTCAGGAGTTCGAAACCAGCCTGGCCAACATGGTAAAACTCAGTCTCTACTAAAAACACAAAAATTAGCCAGGCGTGACGGCCAGTGCCTGTAATTCCAGCTACTCGGGAGGCTGAGGCAGGAGAATTGCTTGAACCTGGGGGGCAGACGTTGCAGTGGGCCAAGATCGTGCCACTTCACTCCAGCCTGGGTGAAAGAGCCAAACTCTGTCTCAAAAAAAAAAAAAAAAAAGCTACTGTTTAAAAGTATTTATAGAGTCTAGTGCTAGGCACCATGGTAGAGGCTGAGTTAATAAAATATAATTTCATGTCAAAATTTTAAAAGAAAATGTTCATGATGAGATCTGACCTTTTCTGACCTATTAAAACCAAGTTACTAAGGTCAACCCAGATTCAAAGGAAGGAGACATAAACCCTACCACTTAGTGGAAGGAGTGTCAAAAATATGTACACATGTTTTCAAACATGTATGTAGGCAAACTACTCTTAAAGGGTTCTAAATAAATAAATAAGGAAAAGAAAGATGTGCAAGACCTCTATACAGAAAATATAAAACATTATCAAGATTCATGGGTTGAAGAACTTATTTCTGTAAAGATATTAATCTTTATTTTTTAAAAGATTTAATAAGATCCTGATCAAAATTCCAACAAATGAAAACCAATGTAATTCACCATATTAACAAACTGAAAACAAAAAACTACATGATTATCTTGATAGATAGAGCAAAAGAATTTAACAAAACCCAGTATCTATTGCTGATTTTTACAAAAACCCTCAGAAAATTAGGAATAGGAGAGACTCTTCTCTAGGCTTTCAGGGCATCTACAAAAAGTATTTTTACCTGTAAGTATACAGGTAACATTACACTTAATAGTGAAAAGTTAATGCTTTCCTCCTAACACCATGAACAAAGAAACAATGCTCACTTTCATCACTTCTATTCAAAACTGCACTAGAGAATCTAGGCAGTGCAATAAGGCAAGAAAAAAAAATATAAGACATCTAGATTGTAAAGGAAGAAGTAAAACTCTTTATATTCATGGACAATATGATTATCTATGCAGAAAATCCCAGGGCATCCTCAGAAAACCTATTACAACTAATACGTACTTAAATAATGTTGCAGGATAAAAGATCAATATAAAAATCAATAATTTTTTCATATAGTAGCAATAAGCACATTGAAATTATGAATAAAACAATACCATTTATAATAACATCAAATATATAAAATATTTAGGGATAAATCTGTCAAAAGTGTGTAAGACTTGTATAATAAAAATTATGAAATACTGCTGAAATACTTTAGAGGATACATAAATAAATGGAGAGATATACCATGTTTATGGATCAGAAGATTCAATTTTGTTCAAATGTCAATTCTCCCTACATTGATCTATAAAATCAATGTAATCACAGTCAAAATTCCAGCATGCTTTTGTCCTAGAAATTAATAAGCTTACTCTAAAATCAATACAGGAATGCAAATGGCTTAAAATAGCCAAAATGACATTGAAAATAAGAGAACAAAGTTGAGGACTAACATTACATGATCTCAGGACTTACTTAAGAGCTACAGTAATTAAAAGAGTCTCGCATTGGTGTCAAGACAGACAAGTTGGATAACCATTTGTAGAAAAAAGTTAACTTGTTCCATACCTCACGTTATCTACAAATATTATTTCAAATGGATCATAGGCCTAAATGTAAAACTGAAAACTATAAAACTTCTAGAAGAAAATGTAGAAAAAAACTTGGTGACTTTGGATTGGGCAAATTTTTTTTAGATACAAAACCAAAAGCATAATCGATAATAGAAAAAAATGATAAATTGGATTCCACCAAAATTAAAAACTTGTGTCCTTCAAAAGGCATTCTTATCCCAGCTACTAGGGAAGCTGAGGTTGGAGGAACCCTTGAGCCCAGGAGGTCGAGGCTGCAGTGAGCTGTGATCCTGCCATTGCATTCCAGCCTGAGTGACAGAGTAAATCACTTTCTCAAACAAACAAACAAAGATTTTCTTAAGAAAACAAAGTCACAAACAGGGAGGAAATAATTGCAAAGCATGCATCTGATAATACATGCTTGTATCCGCAATATATAATGAACTCTCGAAACTCAACAGTAAGAAAATTAACAACCCAGTAAACTCTGGAAAAAACACTGGATAAACACTTTACCCAAAAATATATACAGATGGCAGGTAAGCACATGAAAAGATGCTTAACATCATTAGTCACTAGGAAAATGCAAATTAAAATCACTTCACATCTATTAGAATGTCTAAAATTAAAAATACTGACCATACCATGTTCCAGTTGAAAATGCTGAGCAGTTGGAATTCTCACACACCATTGGTGAGATGTAATGTTGGGAATGGTAGTCTCATGCACATAGCCTTTTGACTCGCACTTGGCCACACGAGATACCAAGACGTAAAGAGCTCACAAGGCCTGTGCTACTCTTATTCCCTTCTGTAGGAATGCCTTTCACTTTTGCAAGCTCAGTGTGTGATCCTTTGCTATGCTTAAGCATGTATGTCACATGGCATCCGGCCAATCCCATTGCTATATCTGTCTTCCTTGTGGGAGGAGACAGGGTCCTTCTACTGTGGCACAAGAGGGATTCATATGAGAAAATTGCCCTGCATCTGCTGCTGGGAGATACCCACTGGCCATGGGAAATTAACACATAATATTAAAGCTGATCTTGCTCTGTTTCTTCTCAATGTAAGTCAAGTGTTGTTCTATTCAGTGCTTGACCGTGTTCTGTTTTCCTTGCCAACTCTGATGCCAAGATACAATGAGTAGATGTTTTTAGAGTCCTCCACTGGGATTAATAACTAATACCAGCATTCTGCTTAACATGTAAAATGGCCAACCAGTTTGGAAAACAGCTGGGCACCTTCCTAAATAGTTAAACATGTATCTGCTAATGGCCTAACATTTCCACTCTGAGTATTTTACTCAAGAGAAATAAAAGCATAAGTCCATAAAAGACTTGCACATGAACATACTTAGCAGTTTTATTTATAATAGCCAAAAACAAGCCAACCAACATGTTCATCAACAGGTAAATAAACAAATGTATACAATGAAATGCTATTCCACAATAAAAAAAGAATGAACTATTGATAAAAAACAGAATGAATGAAACTTAAATAAGTATGCTGAGTGAAAGAAGTCAGACCAAGAAAAATGTAAATACTGTATGATTCCATTTATATAAAATTATATAAAATGCAAACAAATTATGTAAACCATAATAGCAGCAGTTTTCTGCCAATAGGGCACTGGGAAGAATAGGATGGAGGAATTATCAAGGGGCACAAGGAAAGTGCTGGGTGATGGATATATTCATTATCGTGATTCTGGTGATTGCTTCACAGATTATTACACATGTCAGCACTTATAAAATTACCCTTTAAATAAGTACACTTCATTATATGTGGATTATATCTCACTAGGGCTGCTACAAAATTCCAAAAAGATTTTTTTTGTGGAAAATTAAAGGCTTTTTCCAAAATTTATACGAAAAAGGCAAAGTGCCAACTATAGATCAGACAATTTTGAAGAACAAAATTAGAGGACATACACTACAAGATATCAAGACTTACTATACAGCTCAGTAATTAAGAAAGTGTGATAATGTCATAAGGTTGGAGAAATAAACCAACAGCATGGATAAGAGAGTTGAGAAACATCCAGTCACTTGATTTATTTTTTAAAATTACACTACAGAACAGTGGGTGAAAAATGATCTTTTCAACAAATGGTGCTGGCTGAATCAGATATTCATGGAGAATAAAATAAATTTTGATTCCTAGCTTATACCATACTCTGAAATTAACTCCAGGTGGATTGTGGATCTCAATGTAAAAAATAAAACAAGAAAATCTCTATTAATAAAAGATAACAGAAAATGTCTTTGTTCACCTTGAGGGTAGGCAAAGATTTCTTAAATGTGGCAAAAATAGCACTATTCACAAAGGAAAAGATAGATAAATTGGGTTACATTAAAATTTAAAACTTCTGTTCATTAATAAATACCATTAAAACAGTAAAAACAGCAACAAAAAGAATAGAGAATTTATGCAACACCCAGCAGGATTTGTATCCTACAAATCAATAAGAATAAGACAGCCTGATTTGTTTCTAAAATGGGCAAAAAATTTAAACAGAAACTTTACAAGGAAAGGTGTCCAACTGCCCAGTGAACACTTGGAAAGGTGGTTAACCACTTAAGTCAATAGGAAACTGCAGATTAAAATAAAAGAGAGATACCACAACATACCCACAATAGTGGCCAAAATTTTAGCAAGTGACAATACCAAATATTGGCAAGATTGTAGAACAACTGAAACCCTCACATACTGATGGTGGGAGTGTAAACTGGTGCAACGACTTGGGAATATGGTTTAGCTCATCCATAAATTCAAATAAATATATGTATAACCTAGGACCCTACAATCCTCCTCCTGGTAATAAATTCAACAGAAATTATTATTAATGGGGAATATAATTGGTACAGACTCAAAGAGAACAATTTGTCAGTATCAAGTGAATTCTTGCAATTCTACTCTTAAGAATCTATCTCACAGAAATATTTACCTAAGTAACAAAAAAATTTTTGTATGTAGATATGTGTTCTAGTATTATATGTAGTGGGAAAAAATAGAAATAACCTGAATGTTTATCAATTGGTGCATGGTTAATTAAATTATAGATGCATGAAAATTACCTAAGAATTAAAAAGAATGAAGCAGATCTATATGTATTGGTTGGAAAGTTATCCTACATACATTGTTAAATAAAAAATTTACAGAGCAATATACATGGCATTATTATTTATGAACAGAAAATACGACCATTTAAATGGTTCAAGTATACATACATGCAAATACAGAGAAAGATCTGGAAAGATAGAAACAAATGGTTAACAGTGGCTCTCTTTGGGAAGTAGGATTGGATGAGGGCAAGGCATGTAAAGGATATTTAGGTTTTATACTATGTAATTTTAACTACAAAAACATTTTCATGAATTGCTTGCATATTTTTTTAAAAGACTAGTTTTTGTCCTCACAGGGAGACACTCAGTTGAAGAAGCAATGAAATATAAGCATTATTAGCATTAAAATGAAAGCTGCCTGCTGCAAGTGGAAGGGCATAAGATTGCTGACATAAGCCTTACATTTCACTTTAAAGGAAACATCAAAATAACAATGGCTTCACTTCCTCCCATCAAGATGAGAAAAGATCTTTCTATAGAACCAGGAGAAGTTACAAGTTTCATAGCTTCTAAAACATATGTAATTCTTTGAAAAAAAAAAAAAAATACCAAGGGTGGGATTGCTGACTTGTATGGCAGAGATATGTTTAACTTTATAAGAAAATTTTAAACTGTTTTTCAAGGTGGGCATACCATTTGGCAATCCCACCAGTAGTGTATGAGAATTCTGCTTGGTCCACGTTCTTGCAAACTAACTTGGTATTATGCATTTTTTAAAATATATGTAACTCTCCCAGTAGGCTACTAATGGTATCATACTGTGGCTATAATTTGCATTTCCTGCTTGCTTTATGTGCTTATTTGTTATATACCGAGTTTCTTTGGTGAGGTATCTGTTCAGATCTTTTGCAAAAATTTTATTTGGCTGTTTTGTCTCATTATCAAATTTTGAAAGTTATTTATATAGTCTGGATACAAGTCCTTCGTTAAAAATGTGATATGGAAATATTTATCCCAATCTTTGACTTGTCTTTTTATTCTTTCAACAGTTTCTTTGAATAAGAAAAGTTTTTTTAATTTTGATGAGGTGCAACTCAACAATTTGTTCTCTAATTTTGACATTTGTGTCATACCTAAGAAAGTCTTTGCTTAATCCAAGGTCACAAATATTTTCCCCTGTGTTTTCTTCTGGAAGTTAAGTCAGGTTCTACATTTAGGTCTGGCACCTATTTTCAGTTCATTTTTGCATAAAGTGTGAAGTATGTGTTAGAGTTCATGCCTTGGTATATGGCAGTGCAGTTGTTTCAGCACAATTTGTTGACAAGATTATTCTTTCTATACTGTGGTTGAAAATCAATTGACCGTATATGTGTGGCATATTTCTGAATTCTATTCTGTTCCATTTACCTATATGTCCATCCATTCACTAATACCACACTTTTATAACAAATCTTGAAACACTGAAATCCTGTACTGGAGTCCTCCAAATTAAGAACACATTTTAAAAATTCATTTTAGCAATTTTAGCTTATTTGCCCTTCTATGTAAATTTTATAATCAGTGTGTAAATTTCAGCTGGGGACATAATTAAATGGAAAGAAGAAGAGAAGGGAGGAGCAGAGGGCAAGAGAAAAGGAGGACAGGAGTAGATAAGACCCCTTGGCATTCAGTTTCTGGCAGAGAACCATTTCCCTGGTAGGATGATGACACTCCTGTTTTAAGAAGCCTGTATGCTAAGCAGATCACTGGGCAGGCCTATGTACCAAGAGATCCCTTCCTGCTTCTCTGATTTATTTTGTACAGCTCTCCAGCTTACTTTTCTTTTTCAGCCACATTTGTTTATTTTCACACATTCCAGAGGAAGTCATTTGCAACTAGTGTTTTCTTTGCTTGGGATGCCCTGGCCTTCACCACTTCCACCACCTTTAACCTAGTCATTCCTGGCATCCTTCAAGACACAGATTAAGACCCTGAGAGAAAGTCAACATACATCTCCCAGAACTAAGTTCAGGTCCTATGGTATATTCTCTCAATAATTACAATATTTAATTCCAGTTAATTACTTTTATGAGTAATTTTAGAGCCTGTTTCTAGGGTCAGACTGCTTGGATTTAAATTATATCTCTGAAACCTAATTGTTAGATGCCGTGTTAGTGAGGCTAGGTTACGCTATACAGCAGCACCATATTAACTGGAAAATCCCAGTGATTTAGCCTAAAAAAAAGTTTATTCCTTGCCCATAAAGTCCACTCTCCAAGGCCCATGTTCAGTGTGGTAGCCTGGCAATCCAGAATGCTTTCATCTGTGGCTCCTCCATATCAGCATCGGCAACCATGATTGCCAAAGAAGCCAGAGCACACAGGGAGTGTCTGTACATGGCCTCTGCCAAAGGGCATCCTCCTCACTTCCATTCACATTGCATTACCTAGAAATAGCCACATGACTTCCCCTAATCATGAGAGGCCTGAGAAGTGCAGTCCTCCATATGCCTAGGTAGAAGGGAAGAATGTAATATGGGCAAGCACTAGTGCAGTGGGTAGAAAATGTTCTTCCAAGATATCTGCAATGGAAAACAAAAATTTGTGAATGGCAAAATAAAGTTGCCCGGGGCAGGTGGTGGGGTCTCTGCAGATGTGATTGAAGTAAGGATCTTGAGATGGGAAGATTACCCAGGATTAGCTGAGTGGACCCTAAATATAACCACATATATCCTTATACGAGGGAGACAAAGGGAGATTTTACACAGAAGAGGAAAAGGCAGCATGACACAGAGACAGAAATAGGTGTGATGTGGCCATAGATCAAGGAATGGCAACAGCCACCAGGAGCTGGAAGCAGCAAGGAACAGATTCTTCCTGAGGGCCTCTAGAAGGAGAGTGGACCCACTAACACCTTGATTTCAGCCCAGTGATACTGATCTTGAACTACTGGCCTCCAGAGCTGTGGGAGTATAAATTCCTGTTGCTTTAATCCACCAAGCTTATGGTCATTTGTTACAGAAGCCACAGGAATCTAATACAACAAGAAATTTTACAGTAGTAACCAGGGGTGAGTTACTTAACCTGTCTGTGCTCCAGTTTCACATATTTGTTAGAAAGGGATATTAATCGCATTTATCACATAAGGTTGTTATCAGAATTAAATGACCAAACTACTCGAAACAGTGTTTGGCACATACTAAGCCATTCATTAATTACCAGCCATTGTCAGTTTCCTTGGCTAGACTGTAAGTTTGATGAGAACAAATTATTGTCTTGTTTACAAGAATGCCTGGCTAAGGAGTGAGGCAGAGTTCAGGTATTAGAAGGTGTACCAATCTAAACAAGAGCAACTAGCTGACCTGAGTCATCTAAGCTTCCAAGTACATAATCCTTCGGTTCTCCTTAAGGATCTAACTGGCCCAGGGCCCAGGACCAAGCTGAGCACATGGGAGAGTCAAGAGTCTCTAGCTGCAGATAATGGGGATCTGCAATATAGAGCCCTGGATGGGTTCTTTCATGGCTGAGACTTTACAAGATGCCAAGGAGAAAATGGATGCTCTTTCTCCCTCACAAAAGGAAATCTTACAGACAACAACTTTAAAAATTACCTGCATATCAGGTAATCATACACTTTTAAGTGATTCAAAGAACTGAAGAAATTTAACAAAGCCAGTAGACATCCTGAGACAAATGCAGATTCGATTTAGAAGAGAAGCCATAGAGAATTACACACAAGCCCATGACTCTTTGTGAGTCGTATAGTTGTAGAGCACAAAAAACACTAAAGGTAATTTTACTAGTTTGATGTTAAGAGCTCTTCACCATTTAAATTTCCTCACAGTGCTGAGGAATCAACCCCAAGACAGGATAGTGCTGTGTATTTGGCCACTGATATGGTTTGGCTCTCTGTCCCCACCCAAATCTCATTTTGTAGCTCCCATAATTCCCACTTGTTGTGAGAGGGATGCAGTGGGAGACAATTGAATCATGTGGGAGGGTTTTTCCCATGTTGTTCTCATGATAGCAAACAAATCTCATGAGATCTGATGGTTTTGAAAACGGGAGTTTCCCTGGACAAGCTCTCTTCTCTTGTCTGCTGCCATGTGAGATATGTGACTTTCACCTTCTGACATGATTGTGAGGCCTCCCCAGCCACGTGGAATTGTAAGTCCATAAACATTTCTCTTTTGTAAATTACCCAGTCTCAGGTATGTCTTCATCTGCAGCATGAAAATGGACTAATATAGCCACTGGCATAAGAGATAGTACAATTAATAGACTGTCAAAGGGTGAAAAATCCTGCTCCTTAGCAGGGAGAGGCAGCTTCCTACAAAGCCCTGATGTGGTTCTACAGCCAAGTCAAGGGAGCCCTGACATAAGAGCCTTATAATGCAGTGGTGGAAATTAAAAACTTAGTAAATGTGGGATAATGTTTTTTATCTTCTTTGACATTATAGGTGAAAACTTCAAGAAAGGTAAGATTCATTTCAGGGATCAAAACTCTCATTTTACTTAGTCATAACACATTTTACATGAAGAGGATTTACATTAATTACATTTCAAGTGATATGACATCAACAAAAAAGTAAAATGTGAAATATAAACTCTGTATGGTCCAAATGTAAGTGTTGTGGTAACACCTGAAGGGTAGGGACAATGTCTCATTTGTTGTTTTGAACCTAGCAAAGCCTCTTATGAGTAGTAAACAGTGACTAAAAGAAAAAAAGGTGGAGGCAGAGGCACAGCAAGTTATAATTAATCAGGGAAGGCTTCATAGGGCTAATTTAATTCAGTATTTTGTTAATGTATGGCAAATCCTCACTGATGCTAAGTGTACTTATTCATTCAACAAATATATATTTGCAGAAAAGGGCAAATATTTATGTGCAGAAAAGAGTTAGCATAGCAGTCTGGAGACTGACTACCCATCCTTAGAAAATTCTGCTTATAAGGTTGGTCTTTGCCTGGTACTTAAGAAGCTGACTGATAAACATTTCCCTACACTGATGCAAAACTTTCTCTAAATGAAAAAGTGGCTTACTCTACCTAAATGTTACACACGATGTGGTTTATGCTGAACAACCTCTTCTGGGAGTCTAATTTAGGTACATGCCTGATACGGTTTGGCTCTGTGTCCTCACCCAAATTTCATCTCAAATTATAATCCCCGTGTATTGAGGGTGGGACCTGGTGGGAGGTAATTGGATCACGGGGGCAGTTTCCTCCTTGCTGTTCTTATGATGGTGAGTGAGTTCTCACGAGATCTGATAGTTTTGAACTGTGGCACTTCTCCTTTGCTCACTCTCTCTCTACTGATGCCATGTAAAATGTGCTTTGCTTCCCCTTTACCTTCTGCCATGTTTGTTAAGTTTCCTGAGGTCTCTCTAGCCATACGAAATTGTGAATCAATTAAACCTTTTTTTTTTTTTTTTTTTTGGAGACAGAGTGTTGCTCTGTTGCCCAGGCTGGAGTGCAGGGGCGCGATCTCGGCTCACTGCAAGCTCCACCTCCCGGGTTCACATTCTCCTGCCTCAGCCTCCCGAGTAGCTGGGACTACAGGCACCCACCACCACGCCCGGCTAATTTTTTGTATTTTTAGTAGAGATGGGGTTTCACCATTTTAGCCAGGGTGGTCTCCATCTCCTGACCTCGTGATCCGCCCGCCTCAGCCTCCCAAAGTGCTGGGATTACAGACGTGAGCCACCGCGCCCAGCCCAATTAAACCTCTTTTCTTCATAAATTACCCAGTATCAGGTAGTATCTTTATAGCAGTGTGAAAATGGATTAATACAATGCCTAAGTGACCAGCTCACTAGAGACTGTGGACACTAAGTCTCTAATGAGCTTCCCTGGTAGAAGCTCACATATCTCACCACCAGAAGAACTAAGTACATCCTGTGGGATTCCATTGGGGGAGAATTCCTGGAAGCTTGCTCTTGTTTTTTTCCCCAAACTTGGCTCCATGTGCCTTTTGCCTTAGCTGATTCTGATTTTTATCCTTTCACCATGATAATTCACAGATATGAATATGTTTCCATTCTGAGTCTGTCTTTCTAATGATCACTGAACCTGGTAGTGACCTTGGAAATCCCGAACATAGAGCCAGGTATATGACGTGAGCTAAGTTCTAGATTTGCAATATCCATGCCTTCCTGGAGTTTACAAGACTATTGATAAAGAGACATGAATCAGATGATCATATAAAAAAATAAAATATAACTGCAATAGGTGCTATGAAGAAGGTCATGATGCCATGAGGCATATAATATGATAGTAAATAATTTGGCATAACCAAAGAGGTTGGGAAGACTTTCCTGAGAAAGAAAAAATGGGAAGATAATCAATCAACAGGGACTAGAACAAGCATCCCAAGGTAGCAGGAATCCTTGGGAATAAGCATCCCAAGGAAGAACAAGGTAGAACGAATAAGCTCTGGAATGGTCCTGGGACTGGCAGTTGCTAGAGCAGAAAAACATGGGTGATCAGGATGAGAGAGGAAGATTGGAAAGTAGGCAGGAGGCAGTCCATACAAAACCTGTGGCTCAAGTTAAAGAATCTGGCCTTTATTTTAATAATATTCGGAATCCATTCAAGAGTTTGCATGATCAGATGTGTGTGTTTAAAATACATATATTTATATATATATATATATTCAAATATATATATTGCACAGAAAGTACAGAGTTCCCACGTACCTCCTTCCCCCATTGTGTACAGCCTCTCCCATTTTCAGCACCCCCCATAGCCCCCAGAGTGGTCCATTTGTTTCAATTGGTGAAGCTACATTGGCACATCATTATTACCAAAAGCCCATCATTTACGTTAGTGTTCATTCTTGGTGTTGTACATTCTATGGGTTTTGACAAACACATAATAACAAAGGAATTACAATTTTATATAAAAAATTAAGGGAAATACACTTTGATACAAAAAATTAACAGTTGGTAAGGCTTGAACTTATGGAAAATTTGACTAGGGTGGCATCAGTAGAGATGAAAAGAAGTCAATGGATTCAGGATGTAGAATACCCACTTTCAGGTGATGTATTTGCTATGAGGCACGAGGGTGATAAAAGTGGTAAGAAGGACTCTGGCTTGCCTATGTAATGGGTATAAGCGTTATTTGACCAGTAGGAGCATGAGAAACATCACATTTATAACTCTCTTAAATTGAATTTCAATTATAAAACCAAGCCTTTCAGGCTACTCAGACTTCCTTCCTCTGCCTCTTCCCCAGGTCCTGTCAAGTCTCAGCCACCCCCGCTCCTGGTTCAGTGATTGTCTGCCCACATCACCATTGAGCTGGCCTTTCCACTTCATCCACTTGGCTCCTACAGTATTACTACTTGCAGGTTACAGGAACTTTTGATGGGGCTGCATCCAGCCTCCCTAGGGACACCATGCAGTGTTGATACAGTCATTTCCCTGAGGGCTAGCCACCTCCCAGGACACAGCCATGGAAGCACTACACAGGTGTCCTGAAGGGACCCTCTTAGACTTCTCTCTCCCTTCCTAATTGGGGCATTCTTTTTCCTCTTTCCTGGTCTCAAATGGCTTTCTCCCTCAACTCCTCCCTCTGTCAGTGACTTAAGATATTTGCAAATACCAGCCCTAGATTCTAGGCTCAGCCAAGGTCCCTAAGGGTTGGAGTCACATAGACAGACACTAACTGTGTCACAGAGTGACACTGTTTTTAAGTGAAGAGGGAAAAGCATATGAAGAAAAAGCACAATTTCACATTTAAATACAATATTCTGCCACATTTCACTGGAGAAAAGGTGGTACCATTCAATGAGATAAGAAACCCCATCAGGTTAATACGTTTGAGGCAACAGACCACAAGTATGGTTTCTGGTATGATGAGTTGTGATGCCTTTGAGATATCCAAGGGGAAACATTAAAAAGCCAATTGTATATACAAGTCTGGAGCTCTGTGGCTAACATTTTGTAGAGTTCAGTGCAAATGTCACTCATTATTTTCCCACAGTCATTTCCACTGTGGACAAATAATGAGTTTTCTTACAGTGCAATAGCTCATAGGACCAAGCCTATTTATTTCCACCACTCTATTTGGTTCTCTAGTTTCACCAGTATTCTGAAAACCTCTTACAATTTCATGTTGGAAAAAAAAAGGACACGGAACAGAAATTCAACAAAATACATTTTCCCCTCTGATACTTAAAGCTCATAAACTTACTTAAAGCCCCTTCAACTTTAAAACAAAATATTACAGATAAAGAAAATCATGTCCTTGGAGATGAATGTCTTCTTTTCAACTGACCACAATCTCTTTTCTGTTAAATCTGAACACTGCATTGTTTTCAGCATGTTGGACAAAAAAAACTTGGCTCTTAAAATATTTAAGAAATTCTAAGAAACTGTCAAAAAGCTGCTGAGTTGAGCTGTAGAAAGTCCTAGCTGGAGCCCTAGTCAGGGGCTTATAAGTAAAACTCCCATCTCTCTGGGACACAGCACCTGGAGGAAGGAGCAGCTGTGGGCACAGCTTCAGCAGACTTAAATGTTCCTGCCTGCCAGCTCTGAAGAGAGCTGCAGATCTCCCAGCACAGCTCTCGAGCACTGATAAGGGGCAGACTGCCTCCTCAAGAGGGTCCCGGACCCCCATGCTTCCTGACAGGGAGACACCTCCCAGCAGGGGTCGACGGACACCTCACACAGGAGAGTTCCAGCCGGCAGCTGGTAGGGGCTCCTCTGGGAAAAAGCTTCCAGAGGAAGGAGCAGGCAGCAATCTTTGCTGTTCTGCAGCCTCTGCTGGTGATACCCAGAAAAACAGGGTCTGGAGTGGACCCCCAGCAAACTCCAGCAGACCTGCAGAAGAAGGGCCTGACTGTTAGAAGGAAAACAAGCAAACAGAAAGCAATAGCACCAACATCAACAAAAAAGATGAACATGCAAAAACTCCATTTGAAGGTCACCAACAGCAAAGACCAAAGTAGATAAGTCTATGAAGATGAGGAAAAACCCAGCACAAAAAGGCTGAAAATTCCAAAAACCAGAATGCCTCTCCTCCTCCAAAGGATCACAACTCCTTGCCAGCAAGAGAACAAAACTGGATGGAGAATGAGTTTGACAAACTGACAGAAGTAGGCTTCAGAAAGTGGGTAAATAACAAACTCCTCCAAGCTAAAAGAGCATGTTCTAACCCAATGCAAGGAAGCTAAGAACCTTGAAAAAAGGTTAGACAAATTGCTAACTAGAATAACCATTTAGAGAAGAACATAAATGACCTGATGGAGCTGAAACACGCAGCATGAGAAATTTGTAAAGCATACACAAGCATCAATAGCAGAATCCATCAAGCAGAAGAAAGGATATCGAGATTGCAGATCAACTTAATGAAATAAAGCAAGAAGACAAGATTAGAGAGAAAATGAAAAGGAATGAACAAAGCCTCTAAGAAATACAGGACTATGTGAAAAGACCAAACCTATGATTGATTGGTGTACCTGAAAGTCACCAGGAGAATGGAACCAAGTTGGAAAACACTTCATGATATTATCCAGGAGAACTTCCCCAACCTAGCAAGACAGGCCAACATTCAAATTCAGGAAATACAGAGAACACCACAAAGATACTACTCAAGAAGAGCAACCCCAAGACATATAATGGTCAGATTCACCAAGGTTGAAATAGAGGAAAAAATGTTAAGGGCAGCCAGAGGGAAAGGTCAGGTTACCCACAAAAGGAAGCCCATCAGACTAACAGCAGATCTCTCTGCAGAAACCCAACAAGCTAGGAGAGAGTAGGGGCCAATATTCAACATTCTCAAAGAAAATAATTTTCAACCCAGAATTTCATATCCAATCAAACTAAGCTTCATAAGTTAAGGAGAAATAAAATCCTTTACAAAAAAGCTAATGCTGAGAGATTTTGTCACCATCAGGCCTGCCTTACAAGAGCTCCTGAAGGAGGCACTAAACATGGAAAGGAAAAACTAGTACCAGCCACTGCAGAAACATCCAAATCGTAAAAACCATCGACACTATGAAGAAACTGCATCAACAAATGGGCAAAGTAACTAGCTAGCATCATATTAACAGGATCAAATTCACACATAACAATATTAACCTTAAATGTAAATGGGCTAAATGCCCCAATTAAAAGGCACAGACTGGCAAAGTAGATAAAGAGTCAAGACCCCTAAGTGTGCTGTATTCAGGAGACCCATCTCAATGTAAAGACACACATAGGCTCAAAATAAAGGAATGGAGGAGGATTTACCAAGCAAATGGAAAGCCAAAAAAAAAAAAAAAAAGAAAAGAAAAAAAAGCAGGGGTTGCAATCCTAGTCTCTGATAAAACAGACTTAAAACCAATAAAGATAAAAAAAGACAAAGAAGGACATTACGTAATGGTAAAGTGATCAAGGCAACAAGAAGAGCTAAATATCCTAAATATATATGCACCCAATACAGGAGTACACAGATTCATAAAGCAAGTTCCTAGAGACCTACAAAGAGACTTGGACTCCCACAGAATTATCATGGGAGACTTTAATACCCCATTGTCAATATTAGACAGATCATCAAGACACAAAATTAACAAGGATATTCAGGACTTGAACAAAGCTCTGGACCAAGTGGACCAAACAGACATCTACAAACTCTCCACCCCAAGTCTACAGAATATACATTCTTCTCAGCACCACATCACATTTATTCTAAACTTGACCATATAATTTTAAGTAAAACGCTCTCAGCAAGTGCAAAAGAACAGAAATCATAACAAACAGTATCAAATTAGAACTCAGGGTTAAGAAAATCACTCAAAACCACATGACTACATGGAAGCTGAACAACCTGCTCCTGAATTACTACTGGGGAAATAATGAAATTAAGGCAGAAATAAATAAGTTCTTTGAAATGAATGAGAACAAAGACAATGTACCAGGATCTCTGGGACACAGCTAAAGCAGTGTTTAGAGGGAAATTTATAGCACTAAATGCCCACAAGAGAAAGCAGGAAAGATCTAATATCAACACTCTAACATAGCAATTAGAAGAACTAGAGAAGCAAGAACAAACAAATTCAAAAGCTAGCAGAAGACAAGTGAAGGGGTGGCCTGCCCCTCCACACCTGTGGGTATTTCTAGTCAGGTAGGATGAGAGATTGAGAAAAGAAATAAGACACAGGGACAAAGTATAGAGAAACAACAGTGGGCCCAGGGGACCGGCGCTCAGCATACCAAGGACCTGCACTGGCACCGGTCTCTGAGTTCCTTCAGTTTTTATTGATTATTATCTTCATTATTTTAGTAAAAAGGAATGTAGCAGGAGGGCAGGATGATAAGGAGAAGGTCAGCAACAAACATGTGAGCAATAGAATCTATGTCATAATTAAGTTCAAGGGAAGATACTATGACTGGATGTGCATGTAAGCCAGATTTATATTTCTCTCCACCCAAACATCTCAGTGGAATAAAGAATAACAAGGCAGCATTGCTGCAAACATGTCTTGCCTCCCACAATAGGGCGGTTTTTCTCTCATCTCAGAATTGAACAAATGTACAATCAGGTTTTATACTGAGACATTCAGTTCCCAGAGGCAGGCAGGAGACAGTGGCCTTCTATCTCAACTGCAAGAGGCTTTCCTCTTACTAATCCACCTCAGCACAGACCCTTTACGGGTGTTGGGCTGGGGGGCGGTCAGGCCTTTCTCATTCCATGAGGCCATATTTCAGAGTATTACATGGAGATAAACCTTGGACAATACCCCACTTTCAAGGGCAGAGGCCCCTGTGGCTTTCTGCAGTGCATTGTGCCCCTGGTTTATTGAGACTAGAGAATGGTGATGATTTTTACCAAGTATACTGCTTGTAAACATTTTGTTAACAAGGCACATCCTGCACAGCCCTAGATCCCTTAAACCTTGATTTTATACAACACATGTTTTTGTGAGCTTTAGGTTGGGTCAAAGTGGCTGGGTCAAAGTGGTTGGGGCAAAGCTACAAATTAACAACATCTCAGCAAAGCAATTGTTTAAAGTACAGGTCTTTTTCAAAATGGAGTCTCATGTCTTCCCTTTCTACATAGTCACAGTAACCGTCTGATCTCTCTTTCTTTTCCCTACATATTCTCCTTTTTTTTTTTTTTTTGACAAAACTGTCACTGTCATTATGGCCCATTCTTGCTAGTTATTGTCTCTCCAGAGTTGTTGGATACACCTGTAGACTAACAATAGAGAGGACAGACATACAAGGATTAATACAAAATTCGTAATAGTGGAATTTTCAATGGTTTTAACCCAAGTGACAGGGGGCAAGAGGACAATGTGGGTGCTTGCACCCAGGGAGTCTTCGGCCTCCTTTGTTTTTTAGTTGTTGTTTTTTATAGTTTTTAATTTTTTTTTAACTATTTGTACCTTTTGTCTTTTTGTTTGTTTTTTTTACACTTTTTTAATTTTCAGTTTTACTTTTTGTGTCTTTTTTTAATTTTTTTTTACTTTTTTTTTAGTTTTACTTTTTGTGTCTTTTTTGATTTTTGTCTTTTTTAGTTTTTTTTTTTTTTACTTTTTTTCTGTCTTATTTTTTGTGTCCTCTTTTTCTTTCACACTTAGTCTTTTTTTTTTTTTGGCTCTTCACGTCTGCCATTTTTTTTTTGGTGGATGGCAACTTTATCTGTTCGTTTGATATTATCATCTTGTTTACCTGGTGAGTCGATGATGCTTGATTCAGGTTTTTTGTCTTTGTGGAGGCATCTTTATTTGCATTTCTGACAGGCTTATTGTAGAACTTTAAATGTCTAGTGGATATTTAAACAGGAAGTTGATTTTTTCCTGGTGAAACACAAGTAAAACCTCTCCCCCATGTTATTACCTTACCTATTTTCTATGTTTTATTTATTTATTTATTTTTTTACCAAATTAGTTTTCCCTCATGTGGGCTGTTCTTTTTACCAGTAAAATGTTGTTTTGCAGAAGTAGTGGTCTGATTTTTATAAATGTTTGAAAAGTTTTAAGTATAGAGTGCTAGATTAAGTTGCATTTGGGGAGTGTTATACTTTTTACTGTTTTTTTTCTTTTTTTGTTTAACCAATTGAGCTTTGAGCGTTCTATTAATTTTTTTAATTATGGCCTGTCCTTGGGAATTATGAGGGATTTCTGTTATATGTATAATTTTTCACTGACTTAAGAATTTTTGAAATGTTTTACTACAGTATCTTGGCCCATTATCTGTTTTAAATTTTTTTGGAACTCCCATGACAGCAAAACAAGATAATAAATGTTTTTTAACATGGGAAGTACTTTTTCCTGTCTGGCAGGTTGCCCATATGAAATGTGAATAAGTATCAACTGTCACATGGACAAATGACAATTTTTTAAATGAAGGTACATGCGTGACATCCATTTGCCATAATGTATTAGGACATAAACTTCTGGGATTAACTCCTGCCTCCTGAGTAGGCAGGTGTAAGACTTGACACTGAGCACAATGTTGTACAATATTTTTTGCCTGTTTTTATGTTATATCAAATTTAGTTTTTAATCCTATTGTATTTACATGAGTTAGGGCATGAAGTTCTTGTGTTTTCATGAAGGCAGATGATACTAGCAAGTCGGCTTGTTCATTTGCCTTAGTTAAAGACCCTGGTAAATTAGTATGTGCTCGAACATGAGTAATATAAAATAGGAAATTTCTTTTTTTTACAGTTTGTTGTAACAATTTAAACAGCCGATTTAACTGATCATCCATACTATATTTGATTAGGGCTGTCTTAACATCCTTTGTAGCCTGTACCACATATGCAGAATTTGAAACAATGTTAATAGGCTGATTAAAATCTTGTAACATTGAAATAACAGCAACCAATTTTGCTCTTTGAGTTGAGTGATATTGAGTTTCAACGACTTGTTCTTTTGGCCCATGTAAGCTGCTTTTCATTTGCTGGAACCATCAGTAAACACCATCAGAGCATTTTTTAAAGGTTTTTGTCTGGTAATTTTAGGTAAAATCCAAGTAGTCAATTTTAAAAACTGGAAGATTTTTGTTTTTGGGTAATGATTATCAATAATTTCTACAGAATCAGCAAGACCAATCTGCCATGTAGCAGAATTGATAAAGGCTTGTCTAACCTGTTCCTTATTTAAAGGAACAATGATTTTATCTGTGTTACTTTCACACAGTTTTACTATTTGCAGTCTTGTCTGACCAATTAATGTAGCCATTTCATCTAAGTACAACATAAAAGTCTTAACTGTACTGTGAGGAAGGAATGACCACTTCACAAGATCTGTATTTTGAACAATAATGCCTGTTGGAGAATGTGCAGTAGTAAAAATCAAGAGTTGGAGTAGGGCTAACTGATTTATTTTATTAACTTGTGTTGACTGAATTTTTTTTAACTAATTTAATTTCTTTAGTTGTTTTTGAAGTTAATGTTCTTTTACTATTTAAGTCTGGATCCCCTCTCAAGATAGAAAACAAATTTGACATGGCATAAGTAGGAATGCCTAGAGTTGGCCAAATCCAATTAATATTTTCTAGCAATTTTTGAAAGTCATTTAATGTTTTAATGTGTCTTTTCTTATTTTTATTTTTTGTGGTTTAATTTTTTTTCTCTACCTGTATTCCAAGATAATGAAAAGGAGTGGAGGTCTGAATCTTATTAGATGTTATTGTCAGTTCTGTGTTGGTAACCTCTGCTTGCAGAAATGTGTAACAGTCATTTAATTTGTCTCTTGTTTTTGTAGCACACAAAATATTATCAGCATAATAATATAACAGTCTGAAAACTTGTCTCTAACTGGTTGAAGAACTTGAGCTACAAAAGTCTGACAAATAGTTGGACTATTAAGCATTCCCTGAGGCAACACTTTCCACTGAAATCTGGTGACTTGTTCTTTATTGTTTATGGCTGGTATCGTGAAAACAAATTTTTTTAAATTATGTTTTGTTAGAGGAATGGTAAGAAAGCAATCCTTTAGATCAATTATAATTAAAGGCCAATCTTTGGGGATCATGACCAGAGAGGGTAGCCCAGATTGGAGAGGCCCCATGGGTTGAATTATTGCATTAGTGACTCTCAAATCAGTTAACATGTACCATCTGCCTGATTTTTTCTGAATTACAAACACTGCAGAATTTTAAAGAGAGAAAGTGTGTGAAACATGTCCTTTTTAAAATAGTTTTTTAACTATTTTATGTAGCACACCCAACTTTTCCTTAGAGAGCGGCCACTGTTTGACCCATACAGGACACTGCAGGGTGAGTCTGAATTGCTCCTTCATTGTAGTGAGCTGTAGGTTGGGCAATAATGAGTGCTGCGAGCCAAGTCACAGCGAGCCTAGTTTCAGGCTCCCTCCCCCAGCAATCACTTGGCTGAGGAGGATGTGGCCATTGTGGTTTTAGCCCCAATGGCCCTGATGGTTTTGGACATTTTCCTTTTAGTTTTAATGTTTTAGGATATATTACCTCCTGTAATTGATTGTAGTCAACATTTTGTGTTGACCGAGCCATTACCAGCTCTGCTACATATTTACAATGTGATATTTTCATTCCTTTCTTGAACTCTTGTTCCTGCCTCTTCTTCACAATCTATTACACAGTTTTTAGGGGCATCAGACACTGAAACACTATCTTCTTCTATTTGAAATTGTTCTAAAGTTGCTTTAATAATGGCCCAATCATTCCATACCATACCATAGAAGGTAAGTGGGATGATTTTACCTTCCCTAGTTGCTTGTTTTAATTCTTTGCCATTTTTTTCCCAATCTTTTAAATCTAAAGTTCTGTGTTCTGGAAACCATGGGCAGAATTGTTCTATTGTTTGAAATAGTATAATTAGATTTTCTGTAGAAGCTTTAACTCCCCATCTTCTTAAGAAAATTTTAATGAAGCTGAGATGAGGCATATTTACTTTTAGTTTGCCCCACTTTTACTCTGCATTCCTCCGAGTGCACAAGCTTACCGCAAGGTTGACCGTGCACATACTCAGGGTTCTCTCGTCAGCTGTCCTCATTGCTCATATTCTTAGCGTACCTTCACCTTAGAGAAAGGCCCCATGTTGGGTGCCAGATGAAGGGGTGGCCTGCCCCTCCACACCTGTGGGTATTTCTAGTCAGGTGGGATGAGAGACTGAGAAAAGAAATAAGACACAGAGACAAAGTATAGAGAAACAACAGTGGGCCCAGGGGACCGGCGCTCAGCATACCAAGGACCTGCACTGGCACCGGTCTCTGAGTTCCTTCAGTTTTTATTGATTATTATCTTCATTATTTTAGTAAAAAGGAACGTAGCAGGAGGGCAGGATGATAATAAGGAGAAGGTCAGCAACAAACATGTGAGCAATAGAATCTATGTCATAATTAAGTTCAAGGGAAGATACTATGACTGGACGTGCATGTAAGCCAGATTTATGTTTCTCTCCACCCAAACATCTCAGTGGAGAAAAGAATAACAAGGCAGCATTGCTGCAAACATGTCTTGCCTCCCACAATAGGGCGATTTTTCTCTCATCTCAGAATTCAACAAATGTACAGTCGGGTTTTATACTGAGACATTCAGTTCCCAGGGGCAGGCAGGAGACAGTGGCCTTCCTCTATCTCAACTGCAAGAGGCTTTCCTCTTTTACTAATCCACCTCAGCACAGACCCTTTATGGGTGTTGGGCTGGGGGACAGTCAGGTCTTTCTCATCCCATGAGGCCATATTTCAGACTATTACATGGGGAGAAACCTTGGACAATACCCCATTGTCAAGGGCAGAGGCCCCTGTGGCTTTCTGCAGTGCATTGTGCCCCTGGTTTATTGAGACTAGAGAATGGTGATGATTTTTACCAAGTATACTGCTTGTAAACATTTTGTTAACAAGGCACATCCTGCACAGCCCTAGATCCCTTAAACCTTGATTTTATACAACACATGTTTTTGTGAGCTTTAGGTTGGGTCAAAGTGGCTGGGGAAAGTGATTGGGGCAAAATTACAAATTAACAACTCAGCAAAGCAATTGTTTAAAGTACAGGTCTTTTTCAAAATGGAGTCTCTTATGTCTTCCCTTTCTACATAGACACAGTAACAGTCTGATCTCTCTTTCTTTTCCCTACAACAAGAAGTAACTATGATCAGAGCAGAACTGAAGGAGATAGAGACACGAAAAATCTTTCAAAACATCAGTGAATCTACGAGCTGGCTTTTTGAAAAGATTAACAAAATATACCAGTAGCCAGACAAATATAGAAGAAAAGAGAGAATCAAATAGACACAATAAAAAAATGATAAAGGGGAGATCACCACTGATCCCACAGTAATACAAACTACCATAAGAGAATGCTATAAACACCTCTACACAAATAAACTAGAAAATGTAGAAAAAATGGTTAAATTCCTGGACACATACACCTTCCTAAGACTATACCAGGAAGAAGTCAAATCCCTAAATAGACCAATAACAAGTTCTGAAATTGAGGCAGTAATTAATAGCCTACCAACCAAAAAAAGCCCAGGACTGGATGGATTCACAGCTAAATTCTACCAGATGTACAAAGAGGAGCTGGGACAATTCCTTCTTAAACTATTCCAAACAACAGAAAAATAGGGACTCCTCCCTAACTCATTTTAAGAAGCCAGCATCATCCTGATACAAAAACCTGGCAAAGACACAACAAAAAAAAGAAAATTTCAGGCCAATATCCTTAATGAAAGTTGATGTGAAAATCCTCAATAAAATACTGGCAAACTGAATCCAGCAGTACATTAAAAAGCTTATCCACCATGATCAAGTTGGCTTCATCCCTGGGATGCAAGGCTGGTTCAAAATATGAAAAACAATAAATGTAATCCTTCACCTAAACAGAACCAATGACAAAAACTATATGATTTTCTCAATAGATGAAGAAAAGGCCTTCAATAAAATTCAACACCCCTTCATGCTAAAAACACTCAATAAACTAGGTATTGATGGAATATATCTCAAAATAATAAGAGCTACTTATGACAAACCCACAGTCAATATCATCCTGAATGGGCAAAAGCTGGAAGCATTTCCTTTGAAAACTGGCACAAGACAAGGATGCCCTCTCTCACCATTCCTATATAGTATTGGAAGTTTTGGCCAGGGCAATCAGGCAAGATAAAGAAATAAAGCATATTCAAATAGGAAGAGAGGAAGTCAAATTATCTCTATTTGCAGATGACATGACTGTGTATTTAGAAAACTCCATTGTCTCTGCCCAAAAACCCCATAAGCTGATAAGCAACTGCAGCAAAGTCTCAGGATACAAAATCAATGTCATCACAAGCAAAGTCTCAGGATACAAAATCAATGTCCAAAAATCACAAGCATTCCTATACATCAATAATAGACAAACAGCCAAATCATGAGCAAACTACCATTCACAAGTGCTACAAAGAGAATAAAATACCTAGGAATCCAACTTACAAGAGATGCAAAGGACCTCTTCAAGTAGAACTACAAACCACTGATCAAGAAATAAGAGAGGACACAAACAAATGGAAAAAACATTCCATGCTCAGAATCAATATTGTGAAAATGGTCATACTGCCCAAAGTAATTTATAGCTTCAATGCTATTCCCATCAAGCTACCATTGACTTTCTTCAGAGGATTAGAAAAAAATACTTTAAATTTCATATGGAAACAAAAGGGGCCTGTATAGCCAAGACAATCCTAAGCAAAAAGAACAAAGCTGAAGGCATCACACTACCTGACTTCAAATATACTACAATGCTACAGTAATCAAAACAGCATGGTATCTGGTACCAAAACAGATATATAGACCAATGGAACAGAACAGAGGCCTCAGAAATAATGTCACACATCTACAACCATCTGATCTTTGACAAACATGACAAAAACAAGCAATGGGGAAAGGATTCCCTATTTAATAAATGGTATTGAAAAAACTGGCTAACCATATGCAGAAAAGTGAAACTGGATCCCTTCCTTACATCTTATACAAAAATCAACTCAAGATGGATTAAAGATTTAAATGTAAGACCTAAAACCATAAAAACCCTAGAAGAAAACCTAGGCAATACCATTCAGGACATAGGCATGGGCAAAGACTTCATGACTAAAACACCAAAAGCAATGGCAACAAAAGCCAAAATTGACAAATGGGATCTACTTAAACCAAAGAGCTTCTGTGCAGCAAGAGAAACTATCATCAGAGTAAACAGGCAACCTACAGAGTCATAGAAAATTTTTGCAATCTATCCATCTGACAAAGGGCTAATATCCAGAATCTACAAGGAACTTAAACAAATTTACAAGATAAAAACAAATAATCCCATCAAAAAGTGGGTGAAGGATATGAACAGACCATTTTCAAAAGAAGACATTTATGTGGCCAACAAGCATATGAAAAAAAGCTCATCATCACTGGTCATTAGAGAAATGCAAATCAAAACCACAATGAGATATCATCTCACACCAGTTAGAATGATGATCATTGAAAAGTCAGGAAACAACAGGTGCTGGGGGAGGATGTGGAGAAATAGGAATGCTTTTACACTGTTGGTGGGAGTGTAAATTAGTTCAACCATTGTGGAAGACAGTGTGGTGATTCCTCAAGGATCTAGAACTAGAAATACCATTTGACCCAGCAATCTCATTACTGGGTATATACCCAATGGATTATAAATCATTCTACGATAAATACACATGCACCCGTATGTTTATTGTGGCACCATTCACAATAGCAAAGATGTGGAACCAACCCAAATGCCCATCAATGTTAAACTGGATAAAGAAAATGTGGCATATATACACCATGGAATACTAGGCAGCCATAAAAAGGAATGAGTTCATGTCCTTTGCAGGGACATGGATGGAGCTGGAAACCAGCATTCTCAGCAAACTAACACAAGAAGAGAAAACCAAACACTGCATGTTCTCGCGCATACGTGGGAGTTGAACAATGAGAACACATGGACACAGGGAGGGGAACATTACACACTGGGGCCTGTCAGGGCCCAGTGGGGGACAAGGGGAGGGATAGCATTAGGAGAAATACCTAATGTAGGTGATGGGTTGATAGGTGCAGCCAACCACCATGGCACATGTATACCTATGTAACAAACCTGCACATTCTGAACATGTATCCCAGAACTTAAAGTATAATAATAATAAAAAAAGAATAAAATAGAGTAATAACAACAACAAAAAATAGAAAGTGCTGGTTGGTTAATGTAGTCCCCAATTTCCATAACTATTGCTTCCTGTTGAAAGAACAATGTTACAAAGAGGCAGGGAACCTAAAACATGGTTTAGACTGCAGGACTGTACAAGGGAGAGAATACAGTCATGGGATCTTAGTTTCTGTTTCTGGTTGGGCCAGTAAAGCCCCTTCCTCATCCCTCTTTTCCACTTATCAGTAGAGATAAAAACTAAAAACTGTGGCTTCAGGCTGTGAAAAGTCTAAAACAAAACAAAACATGACAACAACAAATTAAGGCAGGAAGAGTATAAAAAGTTTAAGTTGTAAACATTGGAAATATTACAAAACCATGCCATAGGCACTCTATACTTGCATTTTTCTGTGACATTAATAGATTTTTATCCACATTGTTTATATCACAATTGGATATGTTGCAGAACCAGATCACAGCTCCAACCGAAGGAAATATAAGCTGAGAAATAACATAGAGTTTATTGCATACAAGGGAAGTGCATATCAAGACCAGAGGTAGCTGGAAAGGCCACACTGATACCATGGCTGCCAGCTGCAGAGCTGGCAGAGCTGGGTGCAAAACTTGCAGCTCCACTCAGGGTTTCTTCTCATCACTTCAAAGTAGAGCAAAACCGCCCCACTGAGCCCAATCTGCTTTCTTGCACTCCTGAACACAGAAAAAAAAAAAAAAAAAAAAAAAAAAAAAAAAAAAAATGCTACTGCAAGAAGTTTATGTCATTTGGATCTCCTTTCACTACACAAGTCTCAAAATCTGGCACAAACCTGCCATGAGGGTCTGGAGCCAGTGAACAGTACTTCCTACCATCAATACTATGAAATTGGATAATGTATCATAATGTTCTAAAATTCTAAATAAGTACAGAAAACATAGCTACCTATGTAATAAAAAGAATGAAGTCAACTTTCCATTGTAGCTCTCCTCTGTGATGTTTACAAGATAGGTACAATTTTGGCAAAATTCTGATGGCATATATCACTTATAGATAGAGACTCAGAAACAATCAGTTCCTCCCTGAGATAATCAGAACTGGGGAAATAATATGCAAAATATAATAGAAGACTAGGAATTAAAGGAAATGCCTTCCTCAGGAAGCCCAATAAATGGCTTGACCAACCTGATTAACAACCAAAAAAAAATCCTTCTTTGGCTAAATGGAGCCAGGCCAGGGCTGGGCTGGGGCCTGATGCAGAAAGATGAGTAGAAATACTGCCCTCTTAACAGCTCTTATTGCGGTGAATAGTAAGTAGCCTTTTCAAAACAACTTTACATTAATTTAAATGAAATGTTACTTATCATTGCTTACATTCAAAATATGGCCCCAAGTGTTTTTTCTTAAGTGCTTACCATGTGGCATCTTAAATAATTAGCTAATTAGAATATGATAAAATAGGATATTATGTGCAAGATATTGGGCTGGGTGCTGGGAGAATATGGCCATTAATAAACACATGGGCACTATTTTCAAAGGACTTAATCTGGAAGGAAAGACAAGATGAGGAATTTGTTCAATAAGCAATTAATTCGCTAATGTAGACAGAATGTGAGAAGCACAGGGGAGGTAATGTGAATTCATGTTGAGAGTCCCAGTGAAACTGAGAATATCAGGGAAGGCCCCAAGGAGGTAGTTGGATTTGAATGGGACCAAAAATGTTGGCACAATGTTTCAAAATAAACACTGCATATTTTTCTATAAGAGTAGTGCATACAACACAAATCTTAGCTATTCCACAGGCATTAAGGGGGGATTTTAATGAGGAAAATAAATAAAACAAATAATCCATGGTCTCACCAGATCCAAAGTCTTTTGACAGAGTGATAGAAAGTGGGGCACCTCAGGAGAAAGGACAGCACACACCAAGCACAGAGGTGGGAAGGCACAAGGAGAGGTAAGAAAACATTAAGAAAGCCAGTTTATATGGGATACAAGGTTTGTGTATGGAAGAATGGAACAATCTTTGTCTACTCCATAAACCTGAGGTAAGCACCAAAATGCCTAAAAGTCCTAAGAGGGAGCTGGGTTGAAATGCTGCAGAAGAGAGTAGATGGCAACCCTCCTCCCTACTGCCCGAAGCCCCATTTGTCCTTGAGCATTGGATTCTTCTCAGCAGTGTAATTGAGCAGCATTTCTTTTCTTATAATTTCCTAAGGGGCCAAAAATTGTTATCGAACCAGAGGAAATTCTGATTCCCTTCAAGAGACAAAGATATCGCAGAATGGATTACAGCCATCTTGACCAAGACTAGAAAACAGGAAGAACTACGAGGACCCTACTCAGAGCTTACCATATTAGCTAAGGATCTACAAACTCCAAATTCAGGGAGTCCATGAACTTGCATAGAAAAAAAAATGCATGTTTGTTTTTACTAATCTTTAACTACTCTATAATATTTCCTCTATTTCAAACCAGAACAGTGTTAGCAATATTTGTAACTTTATCACCAATGGAAAACACAGATATTTTCATCTAATGTTACAGTTATTGCAATTAATTCAAAATATCATTTTATCACTACTTCAAAATTGTTTACTAGACCTATCACTGGATCTTGTTATAAAATGTGTAAATAAAGAAGCTATTTTTTAAAAAAAAAGTTTTGTTAACTGTCCTTTAATTAGCCTTCTTTATAATTCTGTGTATTTGACACTATTTAAACATATCCTGAGAAAGGTCCACAGGCTCCAGACTTCAGACTTCCAAAGAGGTTCATAGCTATTAAAAAAAGTAAGAACTTTTAGCCATACAGGAGTTAGGAATTTGTTCTAAAAGTCAGACTCAGCACCAAACTTGAGAAATAGAGGGGAGTTTGTTCTAAATACAGCAAAGTCATCCAAATATAACTGTGGTCTGTGGTAAGAAAGGGCAACAGTTGCCCTCTAAGCATATTCTCCAAAAGTGATGACATTTTTTAAGATAACATGTTGATGCAACTCTTTCTAAACTTGTGATGAAAAGGCATAAAAGTAATCAATAGGAATACAGGATCTTGAGATATGGAGAGAAGGAAAGCAGAGACAGAATCTCTTTAAGCATTTGCTTCTCTCAAAGTCAAAGGTCCTAGCCCTGTCTTTATGCCCAGCCTATCCTGACTTCACTGGATATGTCTCTAAAGCATTAATACTTGTACTTGTTTCTGTCTAACCATTCTGGATATATGAGAATAATTGGACAGATAAATTGTTATCTCCCCTGGATGGGAAGATCAGAGTGAGGAAACGGGAATTTATGAATTGGAAAATTTATGAATTGGAAAAGCTGCACTATTAACAGTTATTAACTTTGACACTTACGGGCTCTGACCAAACATCGCTCAGAAAAAAATATTCTCTCACCTTATAATATCATGATCATCATGAATATATGGACAAATTGCCTGAGATCCTCCTTGAAGACAGTAATATCTTAATTAGAGCTTCCTGCCCAGAAGCAAATTGCTAGATCAAGGCAGGTAGGAGAGCTATAACATTGCATATGCCCATGTACAACTGGTGTGGGTACATGGCATGAAAGGAACATTGTCCTTTTCCACTTGCATATGTCAATTTACAGAACTCTGGTTCCACAGCTGAGTGGCCAAGTGGCACTGAGTTCTTTAGATACTGGACTTCAGCACTTATTTGAGGCACTAGCAGAAACAGGGCTAGGAGAAAAAAATCTCTGAATGAGGTAGAGCCATAGGGCTAAGAACACTTGTGTGTTCTGCAGGAGAGATATCATGACATCCTACCTCTGCATGTAGCAGCACTGGGCAGTAACCAGAACTAAATTGTGGAGACATATGAGCCCCCTGAGGAGTCTCAGAAATCAACAGGGGGAAACTATGGGTGAAAAAAGCAACAAAATTGTCTTTGGTCAAGGAAGTAGAACCTTAAGGGACTGAGATTTGGTTATTACTGTGACTGTGGCCTTGTTTAGGAATAGGTGGGAAAAACCTGAGCTTTTCCCATTACATAGTCAATAGGGAATTAAATGTTCAGATTGTTGGCTCTAGGGGACTCATGTCAAAAAAAGGAAAAGATAAGACACTAGATTTCATGCTCAACTTAATATTACCCATTCCTCCACTCTCTACTTTTAATGCAAGTATCTAGCCTGATTTTGGAACTATGGCATAATGAAAAGTCTTACATAATATAGAGCTGCTAGTTCCCCAGTACAGGAAATAAAAACAAGGCAAGCAACCCAGATCGTCTCTTTTCACATTGTCTCTTCCTCAAGAAGAAGGAAATGGTTCAGAGAATGGCAGAGTCATGTATTGGGAGTTCTGTGAAATGATGCAGGTATCCCCTCTGCAACTACCTCCATGCTACTAAGACACTTGTCCATGGGTTATCTAGGGGAAAAGACAGAGAGATGCTGGGTCAGAGCCAAAAGAAAGTACTCATGGAGAGAAAGCACAACCATTGTCTTAAATACTTAAATAAATAAAAACAAAAAAATTAAATCTGATATTTTGGTTCTAAAGTAGTCCTGCTGAAGTCATAGCTTTGCAAAGAAAGTCAAAGCAGAGAGCACTTGAAGTGAACTTTTTAAAAAGAAAATTACCCTACAATGTAGTAAAAGACGAATGACAAGTTTGGGTTGATAAAAAACCAAATTAATTTCCTTATTGCTCTTACTGAAAAGTCCTCATTTGTAGAAATATCTAGTTAAGTAAAAGCTTTTTTATGGTAATTGGCACTTCACACCCAGAAACAATGCAGCAGTAAACAAGAGGACAAGGACAAGCTTAAAGCTCACATTCTTTCCATCTGCAGACTCCAGAGTTGTGTTAGAGATAGTGAGAAAGTAGGAGATAAAGAGTATGAGAAAGAAAAAATGTAAAATAATATAAACATGTTTTTTAATAATTGCTTATGCCTTTTCAAATAGAAGAAAGCCTAGACCTCAATATTGAAAAACAAAGATTTGAGGTCATCTCTTTTTCAACAGAAATTCTCCCTGCATCCATCCAAATAGCATGGCTTGAAAATTTAATTGAATGTTTGTATGCCTAAGAAGCTGTGAATAATGGCAACAAGGACAGTAAATAATAATTCAAGGTCCTTTGGGATTTTTAACTTTCAAGCAAACAGTAACAGAATATTTCCAAGTTGAAATTAACAAATTTAAATTTTTCTAGTACTTTTACTAAACATTATCTACCATCATGTTGTTACTGCATGTGGAGGAGAGAGCTATAGACAAAAAAGAGAAGGAGCTTATTGCTGATATTTTTTCCTTTCTTTATTGCTCAAGGGCTAAAGTACACTATTATTGTCAGGGTCTTATCTATGATAGGAATAAAGGCTTTGACAGGTTGCACCCGGTGAGTCTGAGCTGGTTTCCCATCTGGCTGTGGGGTCCCTGACCATCTCAACTTTAGGAGCTCCATCCTACCAGGATAAGCCTCATCCTAGGATGCAGACTTTCATGTCGGATCAGGGAGAGGATTTTAATCATATAGTGCAGTGATGAAACACTAGTTTATAAATCTAGAATTCTGATTCAATCTACATTCTGCCTGTAACAGCTGTGTGACCATGGGTGGTGACCAATCTCCTCATCTCTCAAATGAAGAGGATAAACTAGATCGGGAGTCAGCAAGCTTATCTGTCAAGAGCCAGATAATAAATATTTTGGGCTTTGAGGGCCATATAGTCTTTATTCAACTAAACAACTCTGCCATTATAGCTTAAAAGCAAGCACGCAAAGATATTATGTAAACAAAGAAATGTGCTATGTTCCAAGAAAACTTTATTTACGAAAACAGGTAGCAGCCAGATTTGGCCCAAGATCCATAGTTTATCAACCCTTGGATAGGTGACCTCTTAGATCCCTTCCAGCTCAAAAATTCCATGAGTCTGTAATTCTAATAATAAGCTAGATGCAGTGAGACCTGTCAAGTGGGCTTGAAGTATCCAAGAAGATCCTTAGATGGATCCAGGAAGACTTCAGGGCAACTCAGAATACTCTGGTAGCCTCTGGAGCCTATAAATCTGCTCACATCTAGCCAGTACAAAAATGAACAAGTTATAAGGATTGAAAGGGAAATAATAAAAATGTCATTATTGGTAGAAGATATCGTTGCATGTATTCAAATACAAATAAAAAGATAGATGGGTAGGAGCAATAAATCATCAGAATAAGTAATAGGTCAATCAGCTACCTATTCATATCAGATCTACACTCCATTTTCCCATGTTTTCCCCTGAATTTCAGCCTCCTTTGCCTCTGGCTTCTACATATATTCAGCCAATGGAAGGTACTTATGAATATTAGTAGGCAGAGGGAAAAAGGCATTTTCCTCTCTCCCTCTGTCTTCTGTAGCATCTCAGGTAACTACTGATTCTAGTTCCTGCTACACAGGATCCTCACGGTTCCACTTCTGCTGAGTGATGCTGGGCTCTGGGCTTCAGTAGTATTGCCTCATTTCTTTGTCCCTTTGGTCTAGAAGTGCAAGCAGCTTACCCCCCTTTTATAACTTCTTGGTTGCCCCATTATTTACCCTCTTTCGATTCTCAGTTCCTCTACCACCTATGTTATAAATCCCCTATATTAAACTCCCTCTGTATAAAATGCCTAGAATAGTCTTTAGTTTCCTACTTGGAAAATAAATTGCTATATAAAATTTTATTTCTCTGCAAGAGCATAAAGAATTAGAAAATTCAGTTTTAAAAGGTACTATTTGTAATACTGTAAAAAATATAAAATAGGAATAAAAGCAATAAAAGATATGTAAAGCTTTTATACATAAAACTATAAAATATTATTAAGAGAAATTGGAAAGAATCTAAATTAATGGAGAGGGAGTTAGTTTTTATATAGAACACAAAAGCACTAACTATAAGAGAAATGATTGGTAAATTAGGTAATAATAAATTAAAAAGCTATCCATCAAAATACATGATTAAGACAGGAAACAAAGACTATAAAGTAGGAAGTTGTGTGTGTGTGTGTGTGTGTGTGTATGTGTGTGCCTCTATATCCAAAAAAGAACTAGTAATTAGGAATATATTTTTAAATCTTCCTACATATAAATAAGGAAAAGGGAGAACATGCAATAGAAAATGAACAAGAGTGTTGAATATACAGATTATCCAAATAGCTAATGAAAATGAACAATGTGTGGACCTGTTACTGACAAAGAAAATGCAAACTGAATAACATTATACCACACACCAATATGGGTAAAAGTAAAAAGATTGACAACGTAAGATTTGAAAGGCTGTGGAAAAACAGAAATCTCAATGACTGCAGGTGGCAGTGTAAAACAAGGACTCTGGAAAATACTTTGACATTATTTACCAAAACTGCATATACACACACCACATTTTCTAGTAATTCTGCTCCTTGATATACACCCAAGAGAAAACATCCCCATGTGTCTCAATAGACATGCATTAATAGCCAAAAACAAGATACAACCCAAATGTTCATCAACAATAAAATCTATAAATAATAATGTTTCCATAATAAAGCACTATACAGCGGTGAAAATAACAAAATACAGCCATTTACAACAATGTGAAATAAGGGCAAGCAAAAGAAGCCTGTTCAGGACATGGTCTATTTGACCCTCCAGGTACACTCTCTACCCTTCTCTGTGCCTGAGGGCCTCACCAGTATGGACTTCAAAGAAGCCACTTGCACTCTGACTTTTAGTCAGATACAACCAACAAGAGACAGAGCAGAGGGCAAGAGGCCAGGATATTTGTTCCTTAGTACTCTCCCTGCCAGTGCGTAGATTGTTGGGCTGCATTCCTCTAACCAAAGCCCATGCTGGCTGTTGAGCTGCTCTCCCCTACAGCAGTGGCAAGCACAGGATTCCTGTAACTGCTTGCACCTTGCCTGAGCCCTTTGGGTCCAGGGGTAGTAAACATTCCCCACTCCACAGCCATTGCCAGCCCTGGAGTATTACATCATCCTTTATTGATTTCCTTTAACCTAGCACACAACTTGTATATAGTCTCTTTGTGAAACTTTTAAATCCTCCTTTTAAATATGCTACTTGTTTCCTGACCCATACAAAACCAGACCCAAACACTTATAAGCTAAACTTATATGAAGTTTAAAAATATACACAAAACTAAACTACTGTTTGAGAGAATGCATACATAGGTGGTGAAATTATAGAGAAAAGGAAATAATTACCATAAAAGTCTGGATAGTGGTTAATTGGTGGGGATAAAGGGAAGGAAATGCAAGGAAATTCTTAGGTGCTGGCAACCTATTTACCTGGGTGATGGTTAAATACTCTTTGGCCTTAAAATATTTATTAAGTGGCACATTTATGTTTTATCCAATTTTGCTATGTGTTTGCTATTTTTCACTATAAAAAGAACTCAGAAAAAATAAAACAAGGAAATTTTACTTGATTGCTGCATCCCATTAAATGTGCTTTTAAGAACATCAACATCAAGTGCATAATTTAATCAGACTCACAGTTTAGAGAGAAAGGCAGAAATCAAGAATGTTAAGAACCCTTTTCCTCTGATTGTACTGAGCTATAACCAGGGTTATCAGTTTACAAGCCTCCAGTTGATCTGGTTGGCCCAGAGGGGAATAGAAGGAAAGGCAAGTAGGCAGAGAAAGAGATGGAGAACTTGAGCAAGAAGGCCCAATGATAATGAGAAGGAAGAGATTGAAAAAAAGAGATCAGAAATGCACAAAACCAAGTTATTTTTAGTATTGCAAAGGTGGCTAGATACAATGAGGGCACACAATAAATGTATGCTTACATCTGTGCTTGGGTTATTAACATGAAGACAATTTCACTTGATATGTTTTTAGTTATTAACTTCTTAATAATCTTAATAGCACAATAAAATGAATAAGTAGAAAATTCAAAATGTCTACTTGCCTAAAACTCTAAAAGAAATTTCTAAACAAAGATTAACAGAATACAGTCTATGTTAAGTATGTTTCCTAGCAGTCAAGCTCATTCCTTGCTCAAATTAAATTTAAAATATAAAATATTAGGAAAATAAATACAAGGTCATAGGATGAATGCAGACTATTTAATGTGTAGTCACATTAATGGCTTATTCAGTAACTGTGTAATCTACCATGTGGAAGGATAACAAATTCCAGTCTAGTACCACTATTTGCATGTATTCAAATCATATGAACGGATTACATAAATTACCTATTTGTGCAGTAAATGACATTCCAATGCTACTGTGCACGGCCTAATAAACCAAAAGACAAAAACTGTCTCTCGGAGAGTCTAAAAAGTGCTCATTAACCCAAAACCTCATTATAAAGTGAAAAATGCAAAACACAGTTAGGATTTGAAAAGCTCTACTGTTGTGGAGAAGACAAGGTTTACTCAGTGGGCGAAGACACTAGTATGCTATACTTACTTCACAGGTGAGTTAGGGGATATCCTTTTATATTCCCTGGTGGGTTTAGTTAGAGCAATTTGACTCCTGTAGCCATAGCACTCATATTGGAATACAGTCTGCTATAAATGCAACATCACTTATACCTTTTTAAAATTAATCCAGGATGGTAAAGGAAGTAGTATTTTCTGCATGTAAATATTTCATCATATTCCCTTAAAGCATCCAAGAGAATCAAACCATATATAGAGTTTTAAAATTCCACAAAGCAATTTAACCTCCACTGAAAATACCTGATTTTTGTTGTTTCTATTTTTAAATATTTTAAATGTTAATTTATATTTGTTTTTAGAATAGATAGTATTTGTACATGGTATAAAACTCAAATGTACATGAAGTTATATACTCTGTAAAATTTCCCTTCCATCTCTCTTCCACAGGCAGCTAGTTTCCTGTTCATGAGCAATCAATGTTTTGGAGAGGTGCCATCTCAAAAGATCTAGACCTCAGTCTCTTTCTCCCCCCGCTGAGACAATAATACTGGAAGGAACTCCACTTACCTCACCACAAAAACCCTTACAAACAGAGCAGTCCAGAGAGGCCCTCTGGGTGAGGAGCCCTAGAGCTAGCCTGAGTCCCTAAGCATGTTAGGAAAACATACCATTCCATGAAGACAGCAAAGGTTTAAAGGAACTAACCAGCCCCTGTGTAGTCTCGGTCACCCTGGTCATCACTGGCTGGCTTACATAGCATCACACAGAGGTGAGGGGCTTTCCTATTTCTTGAACTGTGGCTCCTACCTTAGGAGTGTTTTTCCATCAGCAAAGGGGCTTGCCGTACCCCACCCTGTGTCATCGAATTGGCAACTATTTTTCTCCCATACACTGTTGATTGAGAACCATTTACAAGATATTCTACAAAATTCCGCAAGAGCCGTTTGCCACTATGGCTGCCTAAGGCATATATATCCATGCTTAAAATTGTATCTGCTTCAGGTGGTACAAAATTACAATTTTGTGATATAACATAAAGTCTATTGCTCATGCCAATTTTATTGACCTTTTGTTACGATTGCACTTATTTTACCTCAGATAGAGAAAGGTAATAGAGTGAAATTTAAAATTTGACTAAATTTTCGCTGTTCATCAGTCATTTAATTAATGATGGTTCTTGAAACTGAGGATGCAAAGATAATCTGCAAATCTTGAAGGATATGCACCAACGTAATTATTTCCTCTGGGTTGGAGGAAGATTGAAGATGTATTTGATATTCTTTTTGTCTAAATGCATTTTTTCATGAATACATGTATAATGCTTCCGTAATCTGAAGAAAGTATAAACTATTAAACTACATAAGAAGCTATCCCATTTACAGGTAGCAAAACTGAAGCCATGTTGAACTAAATGACTTTGCCACTGTGCCTCAGAAATTCAGTACTGAAATGGAATTTCAAATAGAGTCCCTCTAGGTCCTAGCCTATTTTTTAGCCCACTGACTGATGTCTTATTTTATAAGAGTGCTGTATCTTGAAAGCATCTCTTGAAGACACCTCTGAGGTTAATGCCTTAGAAAAACCTATCAAACATAATGACTTTGCCAGAGACCATTTCACATTACTTTTACCTGTCTATTTTTCTTGGTTCATGCTCTCAAAAATATCTAACTTTCCCCAATGACACTGTTCAGACTAATTCTAGTTTTTAATGATGTAGGCAAAGATTTAAGCTCATTGTCTAAGAGGCAAAAATAAAATGACAGTAGATTTCAATTCTCCAAGATGGAGAACATGCAATATACATCTTCATACTAGGAACCATCAGTATTGCATTACCCAGCAACCACTACGACATCTAAAGGAGACAATCTTGACATCTTCACAAGATCTCTAAAGAAATCTCCTCCATCCACCCCACAACTTATGCCAAGATCATTATTTGTAGCTACTGAGGTTGCCAATATAAGTAGCTCCAAGCCCTGAAGTGTGAATTTAGTGATGAGGAGAAATAGGAAATACAGAATATGTAATTTCCAGAGAAGAGAGGATTCCGGTAACATATTTAGTTTAATCACTTTACAGATAGAACATAAAAAAGACCAAATCTTTGAATTCATTAACAAATGATGGGCTCTGTTTCTTAAGGATTTGAATCTCCATGAAGAAGTGAAGCCATTTGTCTAGTTTATCAAAAAGTTTTTGCAGGAGAAAGGAGAGGGATTAGAACTGGTGGTCTCTGTCAAGGAGAGGTCAGAAAGTACCAGGTGGCTTACTGCTCTCTCACCCCTTCAATTGACTCATTATAGCTGTTCTCTCCCATCAAATGTCAGTGTTTTATTTCCTCCATGGGACATTTTTCATGACATACAACTTTTCTCTACCCCACATAGCAATTGGCATGCCCTTGAATCCAGAGAACTAGAGCAAAACGGATTGAATTTGGCTAGGCAGGTCCAATCTTTAACAGGCTAAGCTACATGGAGCCAAGGATTGGGTCTTAAGGGATTGATGAACAGGCTGATTATTTAGATGTGAAGGACCGGAGAGGTCTGTCACATCCCATTCTTTAAGGAAGAGACGTAAGTCAAATGAGTCAAAGCAGGGAGCCTACTTGTACAACCAGGTCTGAGAATGTCATACGGGCCTAACTGTGGTATAGAGCTAAAGTTCTAAAACAGGAAAAGAACTGAAGCAAAGCTGGTCAGAGATGAAAATATAAAGCATCTATGCAAATTTAATTGCAGAGTCCACTGCTTGTCTTTAATTTGGCAGCAGACAATTGCATCTGACTGGCTTGAAAGAGATACTGTTTTCTAAGTCCCCTAAACCCCCATCACAAAGGCCAGTAGAAATTGTCAAATTCATGTTCTATGCAAAGTTAAAGTGCAATTTATTACCTTAAATTCTATTTTCTTTTTCCATTAAGTGCGTATCACCCAGGCTGTTGGTTGTGAACAACAGAAGCTGACATTGGCTGATTAATCAAAAAGAAAAAAACATATGATAATCCATAGAAGTGTTGGAGAACAAGGCCCAAGCATTAGCTTGGATATAATGCAAAAAAAAACAAGATACAGCTGACTTGTTAAAGAAACAAACACCACTTCCATGGCCCCATCAAAGACTAGGGACCCCTGTAGCCATTGCCACCACTTCATCAGCAGGTAGGTGGTTCCACCTAGAGCCTGTTTGCTCATATTGCTCTCCTATGTATCAGAGTCTTTCATGGGCTTATCTGATAGCAGAATCCTCAGACACATGCTCATATTTAGCTCCAAGAAAAGCTATAAACTTAAGTTTTGACTCTACAGCACAAATGTGGGACTCAAAAATGGAAACTTCTCAAAATATAGAAAAACTATTCAAAAGGTAATGGACAACTTTTGGCAGAGGTGCCAAAATAATTCAGTGGGGGAAAATACTCTTCAACAAATGGTATTGAATAACCGGATATCCACGTGTAAAAGAATAAGGTTGAAGCCATTCCTTATACCACACACTAAAATTAACTCCAAATGGATCATAAACCAAATGTAAGAGCTAAAACTATAAACTCTTAGAAGAAAACATAGGAGTGCATCTATGTGATTTGGGGTTAAGTAAAGCCTTCTTAGATATGGGACCAAAAGCACAAGCAACCACCAACAAAACAAAACAAAAAGATAAATAGGACTTCATCAAAATTTAAGACTTTTATGCTTCAAATGAGACTATCAAGGAAGTGAAAGACCACACACAAAATGGGAAAAAAATATTTGCAAATTTGTTTTGATTGCCTCTTGTTCAGCTCATTGGTGAAAGGGATTCCCACCCTAGAGTTATGGGGATGGCCCAACTTCCGCCACCAGAAAGAGGAGATTGACAGCAGTTTGTTAGTCACATGCACTCATACCTCAGGGGAGGAGGACACCACACCACACAGGACCACATAGAGGTTTACTCAGGAACAGAGTGAATGACAAGGGCTTTGGGAAGCTGACTTTGTAGTATCAAGAGGATGCAACGTCCCCTGGTTCCAATGAGAGGATGTGATTGGCTTATTGGAAAAATCCCATGGACTGGCAGGAAATTGAAACCTGCCACTCACGAATAAGCAGGAACCACATCTGGTCCATTTCATAAGCAGGGCTATTTCTAGGCGACCTTATCTATGGCAGCAGAATGGGGAGGAGAACCTACAGTTAGGCCATTCGAGGCCCTTGCGATTTTTCCAAATGTGAAGTCAGCACATAATATTGAACCTTAATTTTACATATTATGCCACCAAATCTTGTTAGGCATATGTATCCTGAATCTATAAAAAAGACTTACAATTCAACAATAAAACTACGTATAATTCAAATTTAAAACAGATAAAGGCTTGATGTAGTCCCACTTATTTATTTTTACTTTTATGGCCTGAGCGTTTGGTATAAAATCTAAAACATCACAGCCAAGGCCAATGTCTAGGAGCTTTTCTCCTATAGTCTGTCTCTTCTAGGAGTTTCATAGTTTCAAATGTAATAAATAGCCTAAATATGACTGATGTTCAGTGGTTTGACTAGTCTCAAATATCAATTTTTATATTTAGGTCTTTTATCCATTTTGAGTTGATTTTTGCATATGGTGTAAGATGAGGATTCCATTTTTTTCTTTTCTTTTCCTTTTTTTTTTTTTTTTTTTTTGACAGGGTCTCACTCTGTCACCCAAGCTGGAGTGCAGTGCAGTGCAGTGGTGCAATCACAACTCACTACAGCCTTGAATTTCTGGGCTCAAGCGATTCTTTGGTCTCAGCCTGCCAAGTAGCTGGAACTAAGGAACGTGCTACAACGCCCAGCCATTTTTTTTTTAATAGATAGTGTCTCACTATGTCACCTAGTCTGTTCTTAAGTCCCTGGGCTCAAGCAATTCTCCCACCTCAACCTCCCAAAGTCTGGGATTACAGGTGTGAGTAACCATGCCCAGCCCCCAATTTTATTATTTTGCATGTGGAAATTCAACGTTCCCAGCACCATTTATTGGAAGAGATTGTCATTTTCGCCATTGTTCTTTTTTGGTGTCTTTGTCAAAAATTAGTTGACCACATGTATTTGGGTTTACTTCTGGGCTCTCTATTCTGTTCCACTGGTCTATGGGTCTGTTTTTATGTCAGTACCATACTGTTGTGATGAGCTTTAGCTTTGTAATATATTTTAAATCAGGAAGTGTGGTGCCTCCAGTGTTTTCTTTCTCAAAATTGTTTTGGCCATTCAGGGTCTTTTACGTTTCCATATAAAATTTGTGATTGTTTTTTCTATTTCTGTGAAGAATGCCGTTAGGTTTGGATAGGGCTTGCATTAAATCTGTAGATTACTTTGGGTAATATGGTCATTTTAATCATATTAATTCTTCTGCTCCATGAGCACAGGACATATTTCTATTTATTTGTGTCTTCATCAATTTCTTTCAGTGCTTTAGAGTTTTCTATGTATAGATATCCTAATTCCTTGCTTAGATTTATTCCTAGGATTTTTTATGCTATCATAAGTGGAATTGCTTTCTTGATGTCTTTTTCAGTTAGATCATTATTCATATATAAAAATGCTACTGATTTTGCTATATTCATTTTGCATCTTGCATTTTGTATCTTTACTGAATTTATTATTTTTAACACTGTTGAGAGTTTTTATCAAGAAAGAATGTTGGACTTTGTCAAAAGCTTTTTCAGTGTCAGTTGAGGTGATCATGTGGTTTTTACCTTTCATTCTGTAAATGTGATGTATCACATTGACTGATACGTGTATGTTCCACCAGACTTGTATGAGCTTCTACATAATAAAAGAAACAACCAACAAAATGAAATGGCAGCTTAAGGATTGGAAAATATATTTGCAAACCATAAATTTGATAAGGAATTAATAATCAAGATTTATAAAGAACTCATAAATTCAATACTGAAAAAAACAAATAAGCTGATTTTAAAATGGGCAAAGGATCTGAATAGACATTTCCCCAGAGAAGACATAAAAATGACCAAGAGGTATATGAAAAGGTGCTTAACATCACTAATCATTGGGAATGCAAATCAAAATCACTATAAGATACCACATTACACCTGTTATGATGGTTATTGTCAAAAAGTCAAAAGATAACAAATGTTGGTGAGGTAAAGAGAAAAGGGAATTCTTACACACTGTCAGTAGGAATGTAGCTTGGCACAGCCATTATGAGAAACAATATGGAGGCAACTAAAGGAATTAAAATTAGAACTACCATCAATCCCCCTTATGGGAATATACCCAAAGGAAATGAAATCACCACTTCATAAAGATGTCTGCACTCCCATATTTACTGCAGCATTATTCATAACAGCCAAGATATGGAAACAATCTAAATGATCATCAGTGGACAAATGTTTAAACTGTAGTACATATATAGAATGGAATATTATTCAGCCCTAAAAAAAGAATGATATATTGTCATTCATCACAACATGGATGAGCTTAGAAGAATTATGCTTAGTGAAATAAACCAAACACAGGAAGAAAAATAATTGCATGATCTCATGTAGATCTGAAATATTTTTTAAAAATTCAAATATACAGAAATAGAAAATGAAACAGTGTTTGCCAAGGACATGTTTTGAGTAAGGAAATGGGAGATGTAGGTCAGAAAATACAGAGTAGGGGGGTGGAGCCAAGATGGCCGAATAGTAACAGCTCCAGTCTACAGCTGCCAGAGTGAGTGACGCAGAAGATGGGTGATTTCTGCATTTCCAACTGAGGTACCGGGTTCATCTCACTGGGGAGTACCAGACAGTGGGTGCAGCGCACCATGCATGAGCTGAAGCAGGGCAAGGCATCGCCTCACCTGGGAAGTGCAAGGGGTCAGGGAACTCCCTTTCCTAGTCAAAGAAAGGGGTGACAGACGGCACCTGGAAAGTCGGGTCACTTCCACCCTAATACTGCACTTTTCCAATGGGCTTATCAAATGGCACACCAGGAGATTACATCCCGCACATGGCTTGGAGGGGCCTACACCCATGGAGCCTCGCTCATTGCTAGCACAGCAGGCTGAGATCAAACTGCAAGGTGGCAGTGAGAGTGGGGGAGGGCCGCCTGCCATTGCTCAGGCTTGAGTAGGTAAACAAAGCTGCAGGGAAGCTCAAAATGGGTGGAGCCCACCATGGCTCAAGGAGGCCTGCCTGCCTCTGTAGGCTCCACCTCTGGGGGCAGGGCACAAACAAAAGACAGCAATAACCCCCGCAGACTTCAATGTCCCTGTCTGACAGCTTTGAAGAGAGTACTAGTTCTCCCAGCATGCAGCTTGAGATCTGAGAATGGACAGACTGCTTCCTCAAGTGGGTCCCTGAACCCCAAGTAGCCTAACAGGGAGGCAGCCCCCAGTAGGGGTGGACTGACACCTCACAAGTCCGGGTACTCCTCTGAGACAAAATTTCCAGAGGAATGATCAGGCAGCAGCATTTGCAGTTCACCAATATCTGCTGTTCTGCAGCCACCACTGCTGATACTCAGGCAAACAGGGTCTGCAGCGGACCTCCAGTAAACTCCAACAGACATGCAGCTGAGGGTCCTGACTGTTAGAAGGAAAACTAACAAACAGAAAGGACATCCACACCAAACACCCATCTGTACGTCACCATCATCAAAGACCAAAGGTAGATAAAACCACAAAGATGGGGAAAAAACAGAGCAGAAAAACTGGAAACACTAAAAATCAGAGTGCCTCTCCTCCTCCAAAGGACTGCAGCTCCTCACCAGCAACAGAACAAAGCTGGATGGAGAACGACTTTGACAAGTTGAGAGAGGAAGGCTTCAGAAGATGAAACTACTCTGAGCTAAAGGAGGAAGTTTGAACCAATGGCAAGAAGTTAAAAACTTTGAAAAATAATTAGACGAATGGATAACTAGAATAACCAATGCAGAGAAGTCCTTAAAGGACCTGAAGGAACTGAAAACCATGGCATGAGAAGTACGTGACGAATGCACAAGCCTCAGTAACTGATGCGATCAACTGGAAGAAAGGGTATCAGCAATGGAAGACAAAATGAATGAAGTGAAGTGTGAAGAGAAGTTTAAAGAAAAAAGAACAAAAAGAAATGAACAAAACCTCCAAGAAATATGGGATTATGTGAAAAGACCAAATCTACATCTAACTGGTGTACCTCAAAGTTATGGGGAGAATGGAACCAAGTTGGAAAACACTCTGCAGGATATTATCCAGGAGAACTTCCCCAGTCTAGCAAGGAAGGCCAACATTCAAATTCAGGAAACACAGAGAATGCCACAAAGATGTTCCTCGAGAAGAGCAACTCCAAGACACATAATTGTCAGATTCACCAAAGTTAAAATGAAGGAAAAAATATTAAGGGCAGCCAGAGAGAAAGGTCTGGTTACCCACAAAGGGAAGCCCATCAGACTAACAGTGGATCTCTTGGCAGAAACTCTCCAAGCCCGAAGAGACTGGGGGCCAATATTCGACATTCTTAAAAACAAGAATTTTCAACCCAGAATTTCATATCCAGCCAAACTAAGCTTCATAAGTGAAGGAGAAATAAAATCCTTTACAGACAAGCAAATGCTGAGAGATTTTGTCACCACCAGGCCTGCCCTAAAAGAGCTCCTGAAGGAAGCACTAAACATGGAAAGGAACAACCAGTACCAGCCACTGCAAAAACATGCCAAATTGTAAAGACCATCCAGGCTAGGAAGAAAGTGCATCAACTAACGAGCAAAATAACCAGCTAACATCATAATGACAGGATCAAATCCACACATAACAATACAAACCTGAAATGTAAATGGGCTAAATGCCCCAATTAAAAGACACAGACTGACAAACTGGATAAAGAGTCAAGACCCATCAGTGTGCTGTATTCAGGAAACCCATCTCATGTGCAAAGACACAAATAGGCTCAAAATAAAGGGATGGAGGAAGATCTACCAAGCAAATGGAAAACAAAAAAAGGCAGGGGTTACAATCCTAGTCTCGGATAAAACAGACTTTAAACCAACAAAGATCAAAAGAGACAAATAAGGCTATTACACAATGGTAAAGAGATCAATTCAACAAGAAGAACTAACCATCCTAAATATATATGCACCCAATACAGGAGCACCCAGATTCATAAAGCAACTCCTTAATGACCTACAAAGAAACCTAGACTGCCACACAATAATAATGGGAGACTTTAACACCCCACTGTCAACATTAGAAAGATCAACGAGACAGAAAGTCAACAAGGATACCCAGGAATTGAACTCAGCTCTGCACCAAGCAGACCTAATAGACATCTACAGAACTCTCCAGCCCAAATCAATAGAATATACATTCTTTTCAGCACCACACCACACCTATTCCAAAATTGACCACACAGTTGGAAGTAAAGCACTCCTCAGCAAATATAAAAGAACAGAAATTAAAACAAACTGTCTCTCAGACCACAGTGCAATCAAACTAGACCTCAGGATTAAGAAACTCACTCAAAACCAGTCAACTATATGGAAACTGAACAACCTGCTCCTGAATGACTACTGGGTACATAACGAAATGAAGGCAGAAATAAAGATGCTCTTTGAAACCAAAAAGAACAAAGACACAACATACCAGAATCTTTGGGAAGCATTCAAAGCAGTGTGTAGAGGGAAATTTATAACACTAAATGCCCACAAGAGAAAGCAGGAAAGATCTAAAATGGACACTCTAACATCACAATTAAAAGAACGAGAGAAGCAAGAGCAAACACATTCAAAAGCTATTAGAAGGCAAGAAATAACTAAGATCAGAGCAGAACTGAAGGAAATAGAGACACAAGAACACCCTTCAAGAAATCAATGAATCCAGGAGCTGGTTTTTTGAAAAGATCGACAAAATTGATAGACTGTTAGCAAGACTAGTAAAGAAGAAAACGTAGAAGAATCAAATAGACACAATGAAAAATGACAAAGGGGATATCACCACCGATCCCACAGAAATGCAAACTACCATCAGAGAATACTATAAACACCTCTACACAAATAAACTAGAAAATCTAGAAGAAATGGATAAATTCCTCGACACATACACTCTCCCAAGACTAAACCAGGAAGAAGTTGAATCTCTGAATAGAACAATAACAGGATCCGAAATTGAGGCAATAATCAATAGCTTACCAACCAAAAAAAGTCCAGGAACAGACGGATTCACCGCCAAATTCTACCAGAGATACAAGGAGGAACTGGTACCATTCCTTCTGAAACTATTCCAATCAATAGAAAAAGAGGGAATCCTCCCTAACTCATTTTATGAGGCCAGCATCATCCTGATACCAAAGCCTGGCAGAGGCAACAAAAAAAGAGAATTTTAGACCAATATCCTTGATGAACACTGATGCAAAAATCCTCAATAAAATACTGGCAAACCAAATCCAGCAACACATCAAAAAGCGTGTCCACCATGATCAAGTACGCTTCATCCCTGGGATGCAAGGCTGGTTCAATATACACAAATCAATAAATGTAATCCAGCATATAAATAGAACCAAAGACAAAAACCACATGATTATCTCAATAGATGCAGAAAAGGCCTTTGACAAATTTCAACAACACTTCATGCTAAAAACTCTCAATAAATTAGGTATTGATGGGATGTATCTCAAAATAATAAGAGCTATCTATGACAAACCCACAGCCAATATCATACTGAATTGGCAAAAACTGGAAGCATTTCCTTTGAAAACTGGCACAAGACAGGGATGCCATCTCTCACCACTCCTATTCAACATAGTGTTGGAAGTTCTGGCCAGGGCAACCAGGCAGGAGCAGGAAATAAAGGGCATTCAATTAGGAAAATAGGAAGTCAAATTGTCCCTGTTTGCTGATGACATGATTGTATATCTAGAAAACCCCATTGTCTCAGCCTAAAATCTCCTTAAGCTGATAAGCAACTTCAGCAAAGTCTCAGGATACAAAATCAATGTGCAAAAATCACAAGCATTCTTATACGCCAACAACAGACAAACAGAGAGCCAAATCATGAGTGAACTCCCATTCACAATTGCTTCAAAGAGAATAAAATACCTAGGAATCCAACTTACAAGGGATGTGAAGGACCTCTTCAAAGAGAACTACAAACCACTGCTCAATGAAATAAAAGAGGATACAAAGAAATGGAAGAACATTCCATGCTCATGGGTAGGAAGAATCAATATCGTGAAAATGGCCATACTGCCCAAGGTAATTTATAGATTCAATGCCATCCCCATCAAGCTACCAATGCCTTTCTTCACAGAATTGGAAAAAAACTACTTTAAAGCTCATATGGAATGAAAGAAGAGCCTGCATTGCCAAGTCAATCCTAAGCCAAAAGAACAAAGCTGGAGGCATCACACTACCTGACTTCAAACTATACTACAAGGCTACAGTAACCAAAACAGCACGGTACTGGTACCAAAACAGAGATATAGACCAATGGAACAGAACAGAGCCCTCAGAAATAATGCCACATATCTACAACTATCTGATCTTTGACAAACCTGAGAAAAACAAGCAATAGGGAAAGGATTCCCTATTTAATAAATGGTGCCAGGAAAACTGTCCAGCCATATGTAGAAAGCTGAAAATGCATCCTTTCCTTACACCTTACACTAAAATTAATTCAAGATGGATTAAAGACTTACATGTTAGACTTAAAACCATAAAAACCTTAGAAGAAAACCTAGGCAATGCCATTCAGGACATAGGCACGGGCAAGGACTTCATGTCTAAAACACCAAAAGCAATGGCAACAAAAGCCAAAATTGAGCAATGGGATCTAATTAAATTAAAGAGCTTCTGCACAGCAAAAGAAACTACCATCAGTGTGAACAGGCAACATAGAGAATGGGGGAAAATTTTGCAATCTACTTATCTGACAAAGGGCTAATATCCAGAATCTACAATGAACTCCAACAAATTTACAAGAAAAAAACAAACAACCCCATCAAAAAGTGGGTGAAGGATATGAACAGACACTTCTCAAAAGAAGACATTTATGCAGCCAAAAGACTCATGAAAAAATGCTGGCCATCAGAGAAATGCAAATCAAAACCACAATGAGATACCATCTCACACCAGTTAGAATGGCGATCATTGGAAAGTCAGGAAACAGCAGGTGCTGGAGAGGATGTGGAGAAATAGGAACACTTTCACACTGTTGTTGGGACTATAAACCAGTTCAACCATTGTGGAAGTTGGTGTGGCAATTCCCCAGGGATCTAGAACTAGAAATACCATTTGACCCAGCCATCCCATTACTGGGTGTATATACCCAAAGGATTATAAATCATGCTGCTATAAAGACACATGCACATGTATGTTTATTGCGGCACTATTCACAATAGCAAAGACTTGGAACCAACCCAAATGTCCAACAATGATAGACTGGATTAAGAAAATGTGGCCCATATACACCATGGAATACTATGCAGCCATAAAAAATGATGAGTTCATGTCCTTTGTAGGGACATGGATGAAGCTGGAAACCATCATTCTCAGCAAACTATCGCAAGGACAAAAAACCAAACACCACCTGTTCTCACTCATAGGTGGGAATTGACCAGTGAGAACACATGGACACAGGAAGGGGAACATCACACACCAGGGACAGTTGTGGGGTCGGGGGAGGTGGGAGGGATAGCATTAGGTGATATACCTAATGCTAAGTGACGAGTTAATGGGTGCAGCACACCAACATAGCACATGTATAAATATATAACAAACCTGCACGTTGTGCACATGTACCCTAAAACTTAAAGGATAATAATAATAAAAAAAAGAAAGAAAATATGAAGTAGAAGATATGTAGGATGAATAAGTCTAGAGATTTAATGTATCATGTGCAGACTATAGGTAATAAAATTGTGCTGTATATGGGATTCATGCTAAATGAATAGATTTTACCTGCTCTCACCACACACACAAAAAATGGATAACTATGTGAAATAATGGATATGTTAATTTCCTTCATTATAGTAACCTTTTTACTCTGTGTATCCCATAACATCATGTTGTATACCCTAAATATATACAACAAAATTTATTTTAAAAAATCAATAATGAAAACACAGAGATATACTAAACCAAATAAAAAGAAGATGGGTAAAGGATTTCAAAAGACATATATCCAAAGAAGATAACAAATGGCCCACAAGCACATAAAAGGATGCTCAACATTATTAGCCATTAGGGAAATGCAAGGAAATACCACTTCACATCCACTAGGATGACTGTAATAAAAAAGACAGACAAAAACAGTTGGCATTGATGTGCAGAAATTGGAGTCTCATACATTGCTGGGAGGAATGTAACATGGTGCAACTGCTTTGGAAAACAGTTTGACAGTTCCTCAAAATATTAAACACAGAATTACCATATGAACCAGCAATTCCACTCCTAAATATATATGCTGGAGAAATGAAAATGCATGTTCACACAAAAACTTATATACTAATGTTCATAGCAACATTATTCATAATAGCCAAAAAGTGGAATCAAATCACATATTCATCAATGCATTTATCCGTTGTTGAATGAACAAGTAAAATGTGGTGTATCCTGCAATGGAGTATTATTCAGCAATAAAGATAATGTAGTACCAACATGTACTACAACATGGGTGAATCTTGAAAACTTGCTAACTTAAAGAAGCTAGACACAAAAGAGTGCCTATTATAATATTCAAGTTATAAGAAAAGTCCAGAGTAGGCAAATCTACAGAGATGAAAGTATATTAATGGTGGCAGACGATAGTTGTGATGAGAAACAACTGCTAATGGGTATAGAGTTTCTTTTTGGAGGATGAAAACGTTTTAAAATTGACTGTGAGGAAGATTGCACACTCCTGTGAATGAATTAAAAACCATTAAATTGTACACTGTAAGTGGGTAAATTATATAGTATGTAAATATATCTCAATAAATCTGTTATTTAAAAAAGATAATGGTAGCCTAAATATGAACGATATTCAGTGGTTTAACTATTCTCAAATATCATTTTGAATCTTCTGCTTTAAATTATCTTCACAGAATTTGGAAACTCTTCTCTATGGTTGATTGACGAGTATTCATTCCCTTATAAATTTTCTGTAATCTTGCCAAAGTTATCCATCAACACTGAAAAATGTATAGTTAAGAAGGTAGATGAAAACTGCAATTTCACTTTTTAGCCACCTGTATAAACAATGTTTAGGGAATAGGCTAGTTTTTTTAGAGCAAGAAAAGTTGCTAGAGATCTACCAAATGAGAAAATTGCATCTCAAAAATGTTAACTGATTCTCCAAAATTACACAGACAAATGGTGAGGATATTGTATATTTGAAAACCACTGTGATAGCCAGCCTCCACAATCATCTGCAATGATTCTCACCTCTTGGTATTCACATCTTTATGTAGGCCCCTCCTCCCTTCCCTCCCTCTCCCATCACTCACTCTAAGGAAACTAGCTGAAAGCCATATGACATTCATGAAGATTATGAAGAGGCCTATGTGCCCAGGGACTGAGGTCTGCTATCAACTCCATGAGTAAGCTTGGAAGCATATCCTCCCTTGCTTGAGCTTTCAGATGAGACTGCAGCCCCAGCTAACAACCTCAGGCTGATTAAACCTCGTAAGAGACCAAGACCCAGAATCATCCAGCTAAGCCACTCCTTAATTCCTGACCCACATCAATAATGAAATAATAAATTATTTTAAGCTATGGGTTTGGGGAAATCTGTTATGCCATTATGGATAACTAGTACATATTTTTGCTCTTTACACTCTAAAACCTGCCTCTTATATAACTACTGTTATATTTACAATTGTTTTCTAGGATGCATTGGCTAAAATTCAAGCATTAATCACTCTGTGTGGGTATGACTTTGATTTACATTTCTCCATTTAAGAAGAAAAAAATTAAATATTATATATTTTTGTCAATTTTTTTCTCCTAACTCTAGGAGTTTCTGTTTGTTTTGCAACATCATAAGAGCAAGATATAGCATTTTAACGTAAGATAACTTCTCAGGTAAATTTTTACTGCTTTTGCCACAAGGCAATTAAATTCAGTCATATCATTTTCCTTCTGGTGGAGGCTCCAAAGGTTCATTGAAGCAGAGGGATACTGTAGACACTACTTTCAACTCTCTGGTTATGCTAACTGTAAATGAACCTACTCATGTTTCTCCATATGCTCTGGTCAAACTTTCCAAGAGTCTTTTAATGTTACTAAAAAACAAAGAGCCAGACAGGAGGGAAATCATAGAGAAGAAAAAATTAGCATATTTTATCCTTTACACTGTGGAAACAAAACATCCAAGAGGAGAGATATATTCATGGAAAAGTTTATTATTACTGACATTCACGTTCTTCTGGCCTTAAAGACTCCAGCCACTGGCTTTAAGTCTCCTTCTTCCCTTTATTCATGTCATTATTATCAGTGACCTCACTATGAAAATTGAAGAAATCAAAGACATTCTCACTATCTTCCCACCAAACCCACCAATCAATCTGCATCTGTATCCACAAAGTCCCATCCATGCTTCTCTCTATGGCCAATACCTTAATACCCCATGCCCTCTCAACTACTAAAGAATTTTACTTCCAATAGTTTCTACTCTTTCTTGCATCACCAATTCATCCCTCTCTTTATATTAATTTCAGAAACGTATCAATATGCCTTCATGCCGCTATTCTAAAAACGCTCTTCCTTAACCCCATTTATCTGATCTTCCTGGGCAAAACCTCCAAGGCAGATGCTTATTTTTGATTTCTCTGTTTTACCATCTTTCATTTTTGCCTTTATTCATTCTAGTTGGGTTTTGGTCCCATTATTATACTGATATTACATTTATCAGTATTAATTATCATCTTTCACCATTTACAGTGGAAGCTTCCTTATCTTTATCTTAATCCCACATCCAATCAGGTAGTCATTCCATCCTATGAACATACTCTCCTCCCTTGGTTCCTAGGACACCACACCATCTCAGTCTTCCTCCTACCTCTCTGGTGACTTCTGCTCAGTCTCCTTTTCTGACTCTTCCTCTTCTGCCTGTTTTATAAATGTTACTATTTCTCAGGACTCAGTCCAATGCCATCTTTTTCCTCTACTCCAAATTGCTCATCTACTTCCAACACATGAAAATCTATATAAATGTCAAAGAATCCCACATTTATGCCTCTTGATTCATATATCCAGCAGTTAAGTTGAGGTCTCCAGTTGTCACACATGCATGTTAAACTTAACATGTCTACAACAGAACTCTTCATTCCCAAAACATTACTGTCCCTGGCTTCTCCATCCACATAGATACTCAAGCCTGAAACTAACTGGGGTGTTATCCTTGATTTCTTCTACTCCCATGACCTCTCTCCATATTCAACCCAATAAAAAGTTCTCTATAGTCTACCTCCAAAATGTGTCTTGAATTCATGCACTTACCTCTATGTTCAATGCTGCCAACCTACCATCTTTCATCTATAATACTTAATAGCTCCCTTTTTCAGTTTTGCCTCCCACTAATCCATTCTTCACACAGTAGCCAGAAAAATCAACTAAAAAAATGACTCTTAAGCTCAATAACAAGCTCACAACTCCCTGACTACATCCTCAACCTCATCCAGTGTCATTCCCCCACTTATAAACTATAATCACATGGACTTTTCCTTTACTAGAGCAAATTAAGGTATTTCCTACCTTGGACCTTCATAATTACCATTGTAAATTGTAAATATTTAATAGCTCTCAGAAAATAGGCAGCTTGTAGAGTGGAAAGAATGTAATAGTATATTAGTTATCTGTTGCTGCATTAAAAATTTCCCCAATTTCAATCTGCCTAAAGTAAGATGGCACCCCTGTTCCATCTACCATGTTCTTTGCCAGAGTAGTTTCTTATTATCCCTCCTGTTTGAGATTAAATATTACCTAATTTCTTAACCAAATTTCGTCTTCCTCCTTTTTTAAATACATTTTTTACACTTTTTAATTGTAAATTTGTCTAGTGCATCTCTACCCTTACTAGAGATACAAACTCTGCAAGCAAATTACCATGTCTTCTTCATTTTTTATTCTAAATCCAGTGTCTAGAACAATACTCTGAATATAGTAAGCTCTTATTACTATTTGTTGAATTAATAATAATGATAATGCCATATGAGACTCATGGAATCAAAGAATATTCAGTTTGAGACCTACAAAATCAAAAGACCTTTATAAGTTAACCAGCCAGTCTTTTGTAAAACGTCCATATGTTATCAATGTGCCTTGCATTTAAGAAGCTTATTAAACACTGTGATGCAAAATCTCTCCATTTCCTTCTCCATCAGCTGCGTATTTGTATATGTGTATGTATGAGATTGTATTTCTTTCTTAAAAGTCCTTGTATTAGACCATTTTTGTGTTGCTCTAAAGGAATACCTGAAATTGTGTAACTTACAAAGAAAAGAGGTTTAATTGGCTCTGGGTTCTGCAGGCTGTACAGAAAGCATGGCACCGACATCTGTTTGGCTTCTGGTGAGGCTTCAGGAAGTTTTCAATAATGGTGGAAGGTGACAGAGAGCCAGCATGTCACACGATGAGAGCAGGAGCAAAAGAGAGAAAGAAAGGGAGGGGCTACACTCTTTGAAACAAGCAGATATCACGTGAAGTCAGAGTGAGAATTCACTTATCACCAAGGCGATGGCCCTAAGCCATTCATAAGAGATCACCCTCCATGATTCAAACACCTCCAACATTGGGAATTGCATTTAAATATAGGATTTGGAGGAGACAAACATCCAAACAATATCCTTCTCTACTCTTCTCATTCCTGTTTCTAGTATCTTCAGATACAGATTGAACAGGATCTGTCCAAAAAAAAAAAAAATGCTCTTGATTCCTCTTAGAGTAGTTGACCTTAAAAGGCCACCTATCAGAAGCCTAAAAGTGTCAGTATTTCCCTAGATACAAACGCCTGTCTCATTTCTTTAACCACTAAACTAAATGATAAATCAAATACACTCTAAGGGGAAAAAAAAAACTATCAGAAATCTTACTTGTAAAGCAGAATTGAAGTTGAAAGAAAGTAGGGATGAGACACACTATATGGGCATCCGCAGCCACAGGGGAATCCTGCCAAAAAGTCAGAAATAACTTCTCAAGGGTAACCATTTTCAATCTATTTCATTTCTTTTTATTACTCTTCCCAGGTAACACAAAACTTCAACTCATATGAAACCTTTTAACAAATGCAGTTTGTAACACGGTCTATTTATATTCTTATTTTATTTGATTCAATTATTCTCCTATAATTCTCCTGGTATTAAAAGTCCTTTTGATGGCTGTTCTGTTTTCGATTTCCGAAGTCTTTAACCTCCATTCCCTATGCAAGGTAAGGGAAAGCTCTGTGAATGACAGCCTTGTTTACAGGGAGCAGGAAAGGACTTGGCAGCTGTTCCAAAGTGTCAAATGAAATAGCCTGAAGAATGCTATAGAAAAGTGTCACCAAACGGGGAAGCGACATCACACGAACTAGATTGCCTCTTCATTGTCCACTAATAGAATTCTCTGACGCATAACTGTTGAGAGAGAAAGATTTGCTAGGAGGGAGGAATACCGGGTAATCTTTTTTATACCTTTCATGTGACTTTCACAGTCTTCAAAATCTCAAAACATAGAGATGGGCTTAAAATGCAAATAATGAGAAGAAACAACAACAACAACAAAGACTATATTAATTTGAATTATAACAGTGTCCTTTTGAAAATGAAGAATTTTATTTTTAATATCTCAGAGTCACTCTTACACACTAAACTTTTAGCTAAAATTGATGCTTTTCATCCATATCAAAAGGTATATCTGAGAGTATGCCTAAAATGTTCATTTGAACAGTCATTACTTTAGAAGCATATGATCAGGTAGTAGTCAGCCAAAGCCCTATAAAACATTTACTTTTAGTATTCAATTTTCTATTCCCTTGTGATATTTAGTCCCTTGGTTGTTCCAACTTGTTCATTTAATAGGTATTTCTTAAATGACTACTCTGTGCAGGATCAATTCCAGGCACTTAAAATCTAATCAGTTTCTTTTTTTTTTTTTTTTTTGGAGAGTCTTGCCCAGGCTGGAGGGAAGTGGCACCATCTTGGCTCACTGCAACCTCTGCCTCCTGAGTTCAAGCAATTCTCCTGCCTTAGCCTCCCGAGAAGCTGGGATTACAGGCGTACACCACGAGGCCCCATTAATTTTTGTATTTTCAGTAGGATGGGGTTTCGCCATGTTGGCCAGACAGGTCTCCAACTCCTGACTTCAGGTGATCTCCCCACCTTGGCCTCCCAAAGTGCTGGGATTACTGACATGAGCCACTGTGCCCAGCCAAAATCTAATCAGTTTCTAAGTTGCACTAATCACATCTAGGAAACATCAAATGCTTTACAGTCTAGTGGGAAAGAAAGAAAAGTGGATGATCCCTGCTATAGCCAGTCATAAGAACATCCATGAGGTTCTATTCTCCTGTGCTTTCTCTGGGCATAACCCCTTCACCTAAATTCTAATCTTCTTCTTCAGTTAGATTCACCATCTTCACCTCAAAGTCAGGATGCTCAAGACACATTTTTCATTCTTCCTAAGTCCAGCCTGGTTCTCATCCCTAGGTTTCTAATTGTCAAAATAATAACCCAAAATCAGCACTTGGTATGTGCAATGCATTGCGCTATGTGCATTACATGGGTTATCTGATTTAACCTTCAAAATATTCCTATGAACCAGATAATATTATTAGTTCACTTGACAAGTAAGGAAACCAAGATTTAGAAAGGTTAAGAAACATGTTCAAATAACTAGGAAGTAGTTAACTTGCAGACAGGTTTTGAAAAATCAGGCACTAGAGCTTCACTGTCCAATAGCCACATACAGCTAATGAGCATTTAAAATATAGCTAATGCAACTGGGAAAATTTTTTAACTTCATTAAATTAATTTAAATTTAATTTTAAAAACCAATAGTTAAGTTGGTTATTGAGTATGTGAATATACTTTTCAACCATAAATTTATGATATTTATGAAATCTAAATACAGATCAAGTATTTCTGATGAAAGAGGGAAGAGCCAAGATGGCTGAATAGGAACAGCTCCGGTCTACAGCTCCCAGCGTGAGCGACACAGAAGGCGGGTGATTTCTGCATTTCCATCTGAGGTACCCGGTTCATCTCACTAGGGAGTGCCAGACAGTGGGCACGGGTCAGTGGGTGCATGCACCATGCATGAGCCGAAGCAGGGTGAGGCATGGTCTCACGCGGGAAGTGCAAGGGGTCAGGGAGTTCCCTTTCCTAGTCAAAGAAAGGGGTGACGGACGGCACCTGGAAAATTGGGTCACTCCCACCCGAATACTGCGCTTTTCCGACGGGCTTAAAAAATGGCACACCATGAGATTATATCCCGCACCTGGCTCGGAGGGTCCTACGCCCACGGAGTCTCACTGATTGCTAGCGCAGCAGTCTGAGATCAAACTGCAAGGTGGCAGTGAGGCTGGGGGAGGGGCGCCAACCATTGCCCAGGCTTGCTTAGGTAAAAAAAGCAGCCAGGAAGCTCGAACTGGGTGGAGCCCACCACAGCTCAAGGAGGCCTGCCTGCCTCTGTAGGCTCCATCTCTGGGGGCATGGCACAGACAAATAAAAAGACAGCAGTAACCTCTGCAGACTTAAATGTCCCTGTCTGACAGCTTTGAAGAGAGCAGTGGTTCTCCCAGCATGCAGCTGGAGATCTGAGAACGGGCAGACTGCCTCCTCAAGTGGGTCCCTGACCCCTGACCCCCGAGCAGCCTAACTGGGAGGCAACCCCCAGCAGGGGCACACTGACACCTCACATGGCAGGGTACTCCAACAGACCTGCAGCTGAGGGTCCTGTCTGTTAGAAGGAAAACTAACAAACAGAAAGGACATCCACACCAAAAACCCATCTGTACATCACCATCATCAGAGACCAAAAGTAGATAAAACCACAAAGATGGGGAAAAAACAGAACAGAAAAACTGGAAACTCTAAAAAGCAGAGCGCCTCTCCTCCTCCAAAGGAACGCAGTTCCTCACCAGCAACGGAACAAAGCCGGATGGAGAATGACTTTGACGAACTGAGAGAAGAAGGCTTCAGACGATCACATTACACTGAGCTACGGGAGGACATTCAAACCAAAGGCAAAGAAGTTGAAAGCTTTGAAAAAAAATTTAGAAGAATGTATAACTAGAATAACCAATACAGAGAAGTGCTTAAAGGAGTTGATGGAGCTGAAAACCAAGGCTCGAGAACTATGTGAAGAATGTAGAAGCCTCAGGAGCCGATGCGATCAACTGGAAGAAAGGGTATCAGCAATGGAAGATGAAATGAAGTGAGAAGGGAAGTTTAGAGAAAAAAGAATAAAAAGAAACAAGCAAAGCCTCCAAGAAATATGGGACTATGTGAAAAGACCAAATCCACATCTCACTGGTGTACCTGAAAGTGATGGGGAGAATGGAACCAAGTTGGAAAACACTCTACAGGATATTATCCAGGAGAACTTCCCCAATCTAGCAAGGCAGGCCAACATTCAGATTCAGGAAATATAGAGAATGCCACAAAGACACTCCTTGAAAAGGGCAACTCCAAGACACATAATTGTCAGATTCACCAAAGTTGAAATGAAGGAAAAAATGTTAAGGGCAGCCAGAGAGAAAGGTCGGGTTACCCACAAAGAGAAGCCCATCAGACTAAAAGTGGATCTCTTGGCATAAACCCTACAAGCCAGAAGAGACTGGGGGCCAATATTCAACATTCTTAAAGAAAAGAATTTTCAACCCAGAATTTCATATCCAGTCAAACTAAGCTTCATAACGGAAGGAGAAATAAAATACTTTACAGACAAGCAAATGCTGAGAGTTTTTGTCACCACCAGGCCTGCCCTAAAAGAGCTCCTGAAGGAAGCACTAAACATGGAAAGGAACAACAGGTACCAGCTGCTGCAAAATCATGCCAAAATGTAAAGACCATTGAGACTAGGAAGACACTGCATTAATTAACGAGCAAAATAACCAGCTAACATCATAATGACAGGATCAAATTCACACATAACAATATTAACTTTAAATGTAAATGGACTAAATGCTCCAATTAAAAGACACAGACTGGCAAATTGGATAAAGAGTCCAGACCCATCAGTGTGCTGTATTCAGGAAACCCATCTCATGTGCAGAGACACACATAGGCTCAAAATAAAAAGATGGAGGAAGATCTAGCAAGCCAATGGAAAACAAAAAAAGGCAGGGGTTGCAAACCTAGTTTCTGATAAAACAGACCTTAAACCAACAAAGATCAAAAGAGACAAAGAAGGCCATTACATCATGGTAAAGGGATCAATTCAACAACAAGAGCTAACTATGCTAAATATATATGCACCCAATACAGGAGCACCCAGATTCATAAAGCAAGTCCTGAGTGACCTATAAAGAGACTTAGACTCCCACACATTAATAATGGGAGAGTTTAACACCCCACTGTCAACATTAGACAGATCAATGAGACAGAAAGTCAACAAGGATACCCAGGAATTGAACTCAGCTCTACACCAAGCGGGCCTAATAGACATCTACAGAACTCTCCACCCCAAATCAATAGAATATACATTTCTTTCAGCACCACACCATACTTATTCCAAAATTGACCACATACTTGGAAGTAAAGCTCTCCTCAGCAAATGTAAAAGAACAGAAATTATAACAAACTATCTCTCAGAACACAGTGCAATCAAACTAGAACTCAGGATTGAGAATCTCATTCAAAACCGCTCAACTACATGGAAACTGAACAACCTGCTCCTGAATGACTACTGGGTACATAATGAAATGAAGGCAGAAATAAAGATGTTCTTTGAAACCAAAGAGAACAAAGACACAACATACCAGAATCTCTGGGACGCATTCAAAGCACTGTGTAGAGGGAAATTTATAGCACTAAATGCCCACAGGAGAAAGCAAGAAAGATCCAAAACTGACACCCTAACATCACAATTAAAAGAACTAGAAAAGCAAGAGCAAACACATTCAAAAGCTAGCAGAAGGCAAGAAATAACTAAAATCAGAGCAGAACTAAAGGAAATAGAGACACAAAAAACCCTTCAAAAAATTAATGAATCCAGGAGCTGGTTTTTTGAAAGGATCAACAAAATAGATAGACCACTGGCAAGACTAACAAAGAAAAAAAGAGAGAAGAATCAAATAGATGCAATAAAAAATGATAAAGGGGATATCACCATTGATCCCACAGAAATACAAATTACCATCAGAGAATACTACAAACACCTCTATGCAAATAAACTAGAAAATCTAGAAGAAATGGATAAATTCCTCGACACATACACTCTCCCAAGACTAAACCAGGAAGAAGTTGAATCTCTGAATAGACCAATAACAGGATCTGAAATTGTGGCAATAATCAATAGCTTACCAATCAAAAAGAGTCCAGGACCAGATGGATTCACAGCCGAATTCTACCAGAGGTACAAGGAGGAACTGGTACCATTCCTTCTGAAACTATTCCAATCAATAGAAAAAGAGGGAATCCTCCCTAACTCATTTTATGAGGCCAGCATCATTCTGATACCAAAGCTGGGCAGAGACACAACAAAAAAAGAGAATTTTAGACCAATATCCTTGATGAACATTGATGCAAAAATCCTCAATAAAATACTGGCAAAACGAATCCAGCAGCACATCAAAAAGCTTATCCACCATGATCAAGTGGGCTTCATCCCTGGGATGCAAGGCTGGTTCAATATATGCAAATCAATAAATGTAATCCAGCATATAAACAGAGCCAAAGATAAAAACCACATGATTATCTCAATAGATGTAGAAAAGGCCTTTGACAAATTTCAACAACACTTCATGCTAAAAACTCTCAATAAATTAGGTATTGATGGGACGTATTTCAAAATAATAAGAGCTATCTATGACAAACCCACAGCCAATATCATACTGAATGGGCAAAAACTGGAAGCATTCCCTTTGAAAACTGGCACAAGACAGGGATGACCTCTCTCACCACTCCTATTCAACATAGTGTTGGAAGTTCTGGCCAGGGCAATCAGGCAGGAGAAGGAAATAAAGGGTATTCAATTAGGAAAAGAGGAAGTCAAATTATCCCTGTTTGCAGACAACATGATTGTATATCTAGAAAACCCCATTGTCTCAGCCCAAAACCTCCTTAAGCTGATAAGCAATTTCAGCAAAGTCTCAGGATACAAAATCAATGTACAAAAATCACAAGCATTCTTATACACCAAGAACAGACAAACAGAGAGCCAAATCATGAGTGAACTCCCATTCACAATTGCTTCAAAGAGAATAAAATACCTAGGAATCCAACTTACAAGGGATGTGAAGGACCTCTTCAAGGAGAACTACAATCCACTGCTCAATGAAATAAAAGAGGATACAAACAAATGGAAGAACATTCCATGCTCATGGGTAGGAAGAATCAATATCGTGATAATGGCCATACTGCCCAAGGTAATTTACAGATTCAATGCCATCCGCATCAAGCTACCAATGCCTTTCTTCACAGAATTGGAAAAAACTACTTTAAAGTTCATATGGAACCAAAAAAGAGCCTGCATTGCAAATTCAATCCTAAGCCAAAAGAACAAAGCTGGAGGCATCACACTACCTGACTTCAAACTATACTACAAGGCTACAGTAACCAAAACAGCATGGTGCTGGTACCAAAACAGAGATATAGATCAATGGAACAGAACAGAGCCCTCAGAAATAACGCCGCATATCTACAACTATCTGATCTTTGACAAACCTGAGAAAAACAAGCAATGGGGAAAGGATTCCCTATTTAATAAATGGTGCTGGGAAAACTGGCTAGCCATATGTAGAAAGCTGAATCTGGATCCCTTCCTTACACCTTATACAAAAATCAATTCAAGATGGATTAAAGACTTAAACATTAGACCTAAAACCATAAAAACCCTAGAAGAAAACCTAGGCATTACCATTCAGGACATAGGCATGGGCAAGGACTTCATGTCTAAAACACCAAAAGCAATGGCAACAAAAGACAAAATTGACAAATGCGATCTAATTAAACTAAAGTGTTTCTACACAGCAAAAGAAACTACCATCAGAGTGAACAGGCAATCTACAAAATGGGAGAAAATTTTCACAACCTACTCATCTGACAAAGGGCTAATATCCAGAATCTACAGTGAACTCCAACAAATTTACAAGAAAAAAACAAACAACCCCATCAAAATGTGGGTGAAGGACATGAACAGACACTTCTCAAAAGAAGACATTTATGCAGCCAAAAGACACATGAAACAATGGTCATCATCACTGGCCATCAGAGAAATGCAAATCAAAATCACAATGACATACCATCTCACACCAGTTAGAATGGCAATCATTAAAAAGTCAGGAAACAACAGGTGTTGGAGAGGATGTGGAGAAATAGGAACACTTTTACACTGTTGGTGGGACTGTAAACTAGTTCAACCATTGTGGAAGTCAGTGTGGAGATTCCTCAGGGATCTAGAACTAGAAATACCATTTGACCCAGCCATCCCATTACTGGGTATATACCCAAAGGACTATAAATCATGCTGTTATAAAGAAACATGCACACGTATGTTTATTGCGGCATTATTCACAATAGCAAAGACTTGGAACCAACCCAAATGTCCAACAATGATAGACTGGATTAAGAAAATGTGGCAAATACACACCATGGAATAGTATACAGCCATAGAAAATGATGAGTTCATGTCTTTGTAGGGACATGGATGAAATTGGAAATCATCATTCTCAGTAAACTATTGCAAGAACAAAAAACCAAACACCGCATATTCTCACTCATAGGTGGGAATTGAACAATGAGATCACATGGACACAGGAAGGGGAACATCACACTCTGGGATCTGTTGTGGGGTGGGAGGATGGGGGAGGGATAGCATTGGGAGATATACCTAATGCTAGATGACGAGTTAGTGGGTGCAGCGCACCAGCATGGCACATGTATACATATTTAACTAACCTGCACAATGTTCACATGTACCCTAAAACTTAAAGTATAATAATAAATAAATAAATAAATAAATAAATAAATAAATAAATAAATAAAAAGAAGACTGGAAGATAGGATAATAGGGAGGTTTGGTTTTCCGTGATATGCTTTTATTTATTGTTAGACTTTATTTACCCTGTGTTCCTCATCACCTCACTCCACAGAAGCATTTCATTATATACAACTTAGATTTCATTTTTCTACTGTTTTTCAAGCTTCATATATAAATAAATTTACAAATTATGAAATATTTCTAAATCTAATTAGCATGTTTCAGAAATCTCTATAGGAACTCAATAGAATGAAGATACCTGGATCTCCTCTAGGCAGGTTAAATAAAACTCTCGACAGAGAGCCCTGGAATCTGCATTTGGAATGAACATCTGGAATCAAGTCCTCAGGGGGTATGCAGACTTCACTTTGAGAAACCCTTCATTTGAACATGATCACTATTATTATTTTCAAGTGGAGGACATTAATGTGTCCTGAAATGTAACTGTTCTATGGAATAGAAGGTGATTCAACAGTCTAAGAAATAAATATCTGTTAAAAATAAAAAAAAAATAAAATTAAAAAAAGTATTTCTGATGAAAATTTAGCTTCCAAACTAATATATGGTATAAGTGTAAAATTAGACTTTGAAGACTTGGTATTAAAAACAAGACTGTAAATTATCTCATTGGTAATTTTTTATATTGACTACATATGGAAATATTTTAGATATATTGGGTTCAATAAAAACATATCAGTACAGTATCATCTATTTCTTTTGCATAAGAAAATTTAAAAGTACAGATATGCCTCACATTATATTTCTTTTTTACTGCATAGGAACTACCTTTTTTAATAATTTCAACTTTTGTTTTAGATTCAAGAAGTACATGTGCAGGTTTGTTACATGGGTATATTGCATGATGCTGAGGTTTGGGGTATGACTGAACCCATCACCCAGGTCCTGAGCATAGTACCCAATAGTTTTTCAGCCCTTTCCCCACTCCCTTCATCCTCCCTCTAGTAGTGCCCAGTGACTATTGTTCTTATCTTTATGTCATATGTACCCAAAGTTTAACTTCCACCTATAAGTGAGAACATGCAGTATTTGGTTTTCTGTTCCTGCATTAATTTGCTTAAGATGATGGCCTCCAGCTGCATCCATGTTGCTGCAAAGAACATGATTTCATTATTTTTGTGGCTCCATAGTATTCTGTGGTGTATATGTACCAGTTTCTTTACCCAATCCACTGCTGATGGGCACCTAGATTGATTCCGTGACTTTGCTATTGTTAATGGTGCTGTGATGAACATACGAGTGCATGTGTCTTTTTTTTTTGTAAAATGATTTCTTTTCCTTAGGGTATATACCCAGTGATGAGATTGCTAAGTCAAATGGTAGTTCTGTTTTAAGTTCATTGAGACATCTCCAAACTGCTTTCCACAGTGGCTGAACTAATTTACATTCCCACTGTTTATAAGCATACTCTTTTCTCCACAGCCTTGTCAGCATCTGTTATTTTTTGTCTTTTTAATAACTAGCACAAGTAATAGCTCTGTTGGGCTCCACTGGCCTAGAGTCTATCCTCCTATCTTACACTATTCCAACTCTCAGGAAGCTTTCAATTCAGTGCTCATGTGATAACAAGGATCTATTATTCAAACTGGCTAAATTCAGTCTCCCTGCTTTTCCCTCTCACCCCCCACTGTCTGGCAGGTATCTTGAAACATCTTATCCTCTTCACTCTCTAGCCTTCTCTCAATGATTTATTAGCTCAAGTTCCACCAATACAGTATGACTTTTCTTGATATCTGCTCCAAAATACATTTTCATTCTCTCACTGCAATATCAAAATGTGGAAATTGTCAAACTGGACAATACAATCTAGTATTCTGCTGTACCAAATGGTTCCAAGTGACATGATGTGGTTGTGTGTGTGGGCACGTGTGTACGTGCGTGTGCACACACATGCATGTGCACATAATATATTCACATTTATATTCCAGCTTCTTTTTCTATCTCCTTGTAGCTTTGCCATTCCTAAATTCACGCAAATGACCATGAATTCATTTATAACTGCCCCCGTTTATTAAGCTCCACACATCTTCCAAAATTATGTCCTTCATTTGCTTAAATGCAGGAACAAGTTTTAAAGAATGACACACTGTTCCTTCAGAGTTTGATGAAGATCATGTATTACCTTATACACTGCTTAATTTATAAATTTTAGTCATGTCTTTCTTTAGCCTTAACCTCCTAGATTGAAGTTTCCCAATTGTCCTTTATATGATGGCTATTATTACCAAAGCCAGAAACACATCTTTGGTCATTGATCTACCATATCTCTCTTGAGATGCATTAGAATTAACTACACTCTTCCAGATTTCAGATGAAAATACTATAATAACATTATAGAATATATTGTTTGGATTTTCATTTCCTTGATAAAAATGCCAACTATTTTAAATTTTAGCCTTAGGTTGATCTGATGTCATCAGAAAACATTCTATAACAATTCTTTGTCTTTAGTTTGCAACCACAAATTTTTGCTTTCATACAGAGAAGGTGTGTATCTATTTTATAATTCTATTTTGGTATTCAAATTCATTTGCCACTTTTCTACATATTAACTCTCAGTACTTATTTCTGTCTTTCCGTGTCTTCTTGGTAAACATGATAATAAATCTAAAATATATCCATATAAAATAATAATATCTAATTTGTGGTGTTTAAAATATGATAGACTTAAAAATATTGGGCAAAAATTAGATATACGATACAAACATATAATTAGAATTCAAGTGTTCTAAGGTCTTTCCAAAGTTCAGAAGGAGGTTAAGATATTTATTAACTTTAGGCTTTAGGTATATTCCATAATAATTTCAAAAGTAATCACAAAAAGAATGGAAGTAGAGTGTGTGACTTCCAAACCAGATGTTGGCAGCGGGGGCGGGGGGTGAAAGTTTTTGACTGTAATAAATTCAGAAGATAGAAAATCAGAAAGGAAGAAAAAGGGGATATAGGAAAAGCAGTACACAGAGAAAATGCTAAGTAAACTAGTATAAGTAAATCCAAAATATTAGAAATAACAATAAAAGTAAATGGACTAAACATACCAGCAAAGAGATAAATGTTTCAAATTAGAGAATTTGTTTAAAATCCAGGTTTATGCTACTTATAAAAGACAAATAAACAAAAAGATGAGTTTAAAATATAAAGAACAAAAAAAGTTAGAAAGTTAAAGCATAGAAAAACTACTAAGAAAAAACTAATCAAATGAAATCCAGTATAATTAATATTGGAAAGAAGGTTTCATGGCTGGTCAAAGGTGCTGGATTAATATCAGAAAGAAAAAAGAAGACTTTAATCATTCTCAGACCTGTTTACACATTATAATAATTTTGGAAAATGTTTTTAAGTTACCAATGTCTTACCCCCACCGATTAACCTCTAAAAGTGAGGCCTGGGCATGGATGTTTCTAAAAGTTCCCTGGGTACTTATGATACAGAATGAGGATTAATAACTTCCACTTTAAACAAAAATAATTTTTAGAGATAAAAATATTCATCATATACTAATTTGTTAAATATACTAAATTTGTTAAAAAGAAAATACAGAACTATTAGACTAAGACATGGGTAAATTCCTCTATTACCTGGGAGAGGGAGGAATGTTTCAAACTATCATTCAACATCCAGAAGCAATAAAATAAAATGAGATTGTATTAAAAAGACACAGGTTTCTGCCTATGAGGGTTAGCCTGCCATAGGAATTGCCACTTCACCATAGCCAAGAAAACCAGATAAATTATATAAAACAAAGTTTTTCAGATTCTGGGCAACAGAATGTGATCCCTGAGAAAAGGGAAACAAGATTATCAGTGAACTCTAAGTTAATGCCTTCAAACAGTTTTCGATCACAGTCAAGGAGGGGGCTCCAAATTAAGGAATAGGGATTAAAGTTTGGGAAGGTGGAGACTCCTATAACTTGCAGATTTAAAAACAAAGAGGAGACAACTTGACTCAGCTCAGGCTGTCATAACGAAATACCATGGCTGGTGGCTTAGAAAGCAGGGGTTTATTTTCTGAAAGTTCTAGAGGCTGGAAGTCTGAGATCAGGATGCCAGGTTCTGATGAGGACTCTCTTCCTGGTTGGCAGATCACTGGCTTCTTGCTGTACCCTAACATGGCAGAGAGAGGAGTGGGGGAAGGAGAAGGAGAGGGTGAGGGAGTCACACTTGAGAACACCACCCCATGACCTCATCTAGACCAATTGTCTCCCAAAGGCCCCATCTCCAAATACCATTACATTAGGGATTAGGGCTTCAATACATAAATTTTATGGTATACAGTTCATTGCATAACATAACTTCACAGAGAGCTCTGGAGTTCTGCATAGGGATCTTCTTGAGTCTTTGGCTGAATACTGACCTACTCATGAATGATAAGAAACAACCAAAGACTTAGGAAAGCTATAAAACAGCTTCTCAGGGCTCACACAGAAGTGAAAATAGCTTATGTTTCCACAAGCCAGAATGAAGAGACCTCCTAACATGGGTCATTGCATACAGTCCACAGAAGGGTCCTGCCTTAATATTGGAGCTAAATTAATCCCAGGATAAAGGCTTCTCTGGGAACACCTAACAAAGCTTAAAATTAAGTCTTAAAAGTTTCCAATTTACCTGCAAGTTATGAAACTACACACCAGAATAAAACCCAACACTCTTTAAAGGAATACAAATAATTTCAGCAAAACGTAAAACTCACAATGTCAGACATAATTTTAGAATTATTAGGCATGCAAATCATGAATGAACCCCCATTCACAATTGCCCCAAAAAGCATAAAATACCTAGGAATATCACTAACAAGAGAAGTGGAGGATCTCTACAGGAAAATTACAAAACACTGCTCAAATAAATCAGAGATGACACAAACAAATAGAAAAACATTCTATGCTCATGGATAGGAAGAATCAGTATTGTTAAAATGACCATAATGCCAAAAGCAATTTATAGATTTAATGCTATTGACGCTAAACTACCATTGACATTCTTCACAGAACTAGAATAAAACTATTTTAAAATTCATATGGAACCAAAAAAAGAGCCCAAAAGCCAAGGCAATCCTAAACAAAAAGAACAAATCTGGAGGCATCATGTTACCTGACTTCAAACTATACTACAGGGCTACAGTAACCTAACCAAAACAGCATGGTACTGGTACAAGAATAGACACATAAACCAATGGAACAGAATAGAGAACCCAGAAATAAGACCACACACCTACAACCATCTGATCTTCAACAAAGCCAACAAAAACAAGCAATGGGGAAAGGGTTCCCTATTTAATAAATGCTGGGAGAACTGGCTAGCCATATACAGAGTATTGAAACTGGACCCCTTCCCTACACCATAAACATAAATCAACTCAAGATAGAGTAAAGATTTAAATGTAAAGAATAACACTATAAAAACCCTGGAAGACAACCTAGACAGTACTATCTTGAACATAAGAATGGGCAAAGAGTTCATGACAAAGATGCCAAAAGCAATTGCAACAAAAGCAAAAATTGACAAATGGGATCTAATTACAGAGCTTCTGCACAGCAAAAGAAACTATCAACAGAGTAAACAGACAATCTACAGAATGGGAGAAAATGTTTGCAAACTATGCCTCTGACAAAGGCCTAATATCCAGGATTAATAAGGAATTTAAACAAATTTACAAGAAAGAGACAACTCCATTAAAAAGTGGGCAAAGGACATGAACAGACACGTTTCTAAAGAAGATATACACATGGCCAGCAATCATATTTTCAAAATCTCAATATCACTGATCTTTAGAGAAATACAAATCAAAACCACAATGAGATACCATCTCACACCAGTCAGAAAGGCTGTTATTAAAAAGTCAAAAAATAAAAGATGTTGGTGAGGTTGTAGAGAAAAAGAAACACTTTTACACTGCTTTTGGGAGTGTAAATTAGTTCAACCATTGTGGAAGACAGTGTGGTGATTCCTCAGAGACCTAGAGACAGAAATACCATTCAACCCATCAATGGGTATCCCAAAGGACTATAAATTCTTCTATTATAAAGATAAATGCATACATATGTTCACTGTAGCACTATTCACAGTAGCAAAGACATGGAATCAACCTAAATGTCCATCAATGATAGACTGGTTAAAGAAAATGTGGTACATATATACCATGGGATACTATGCAGCCTTAAAAAGGAAAAAGATCATGTCTTTTGCAGGGACATGGTGGAGCTGGAGGCCATCATCCTTAGCAAACTAACCTAGGAAGAGAAAACCAAATACCACACGTTCTGACTTATAAATGATGAGAACACATGGACACATAAAGAGGAACAATGCACATTGGGGCCTACCAGAGGGCAGAAGTTTGGAGGAGGAAGAGTGTCAGGAAAAATAGCTAATGGATACTGGGCTTAATACCTGGCTGATGAATATAAAACAAAGCCCCTTGATATACATTTACCTATGTAACAAACCTGCACATCTTGCACATGTATCCCTGAATTTAAATAAAACTCATAAAAAATAACAGATATAAATTTTTAAAATACAAAAAATAAAATTATCAGGCATGAAAAGCAGAAAAACATGATCCATAACCAGCAGAAAATGTAGTCAATAAAACTAGACTGAGAAATAGCAAAAATGATTTAAAAAGAAGACAAGGACTTTAAACTGCTAAGATAAATTGTATGAATACGCTTAAGGAGGTAAAGAAATACAAGAACAGACTGAGAAGAGAAAATGGAAGATATCTTTAAAAGCTCAAATGGAATTTACAGAGATTAAAGACACAATCTTAAATGAAAAATGCACTGGGTAGGATTAATAGCATATAGGACACAGCAGAAGGCCAGGCATGGTGGTTCATGCCTGTAATCCCAGCACTTTGGGAGACCAAGGTGGGTGGACTGCCTGAGCTCAGGAGTTCAAGACCAGCCTGATCAACACAGTGAAAGCCCGTCTCTACTAAAATACAAAAAAATTAACCAGGCGTGGCAGCGTGCGCCTGTAGTCCCAGCTACTTGAGAGGCTGAGGCAGGAGAATTTCTTGAACGCGGGAGGCAGGGGTTGCAGTGAGCTGAGATCATGCCACTGCACTCCAGCCTGGGAGACAGGGCAAGACTCTATCTCAAAAAAAAAAAAAAAAAAAAGAAAAAAGAAAAAAGAAACATATCCTCATTGAGCTTTGGGGTAATATCAAATAGTTTAATATACCTGTGCTGTGGTTTGAATATGTCCTTCAACATTTGTGTGTTGAAAACCTAATCCCCAATGCAACAGTATTGAGAGGAGGAAACTTTAAGATGTGATTAGGTCAGGAGGGATCTGTTCTCATGAATTTATTAAAGCCATTATCTCAGGAGTAGGTTAGTTATTATGAGAGTGAATTATTGATAAAATGATGTTTGGCCCCCTTCCTCTCTCACATGCATGCACTCTCTTGTCATGTGATGCTTTCCACCACATTATGATACAGCAAGAAGGTCCTTACCAGATGCAGCCCTTCAATTTTGGGCTTCCCAGCCTCTGGATCCATGAGAAAAAAAAAATCTGTTCTTTGTAAATTACCCAGTCTGTAGTATTCTGTTACAACACAAAATGGACTAAGACAACATATAATTAGAGTCCTATAGAAGAAGCAGACAGGAAATAAAAATATTTGAAGAAATAGTGACCAAAAATGTGATGAAAATTATAAAACAACAGATCCGAGGTGCTCAACGAATTCCAGGAACACACAAACAAAACAAAGCCAAGGTACATCAAAATCAAATTGCTGAAAATAAGTAATAAAGGGAAAATCTTAAATGAGGCTAGAAGGAAAAAAAACCCATATTAATTATAAAAGAACAAAGATAATAACAGCTGATTCCTATACCAAAACCAAGAAGACCAGAAGACAATGGGATGATATTTTTAAGGTGATGAAATAGAAAACTTATCAACCTAGATTATATCCAAAGAAACTATCCTCTAAGAATAAAAGAAAACTAAAATCTTGTTCATATCAACAAAAGTTGAGAGAATATCGGCAGCACAGCTGCACCTAAATAACCAAGGTAATGAACTACAGACCTTTAAGTAAAGCTATGTAGGCTTAACACTAGATTCCTGCTGGGAATTACTTTCATGGACTATTGCTGTGTTGTCATATACTGTAACTCAAGGGTTCCCAGCCTGGCTACACATTATAACTGAGGAACTTTAAAAAAATAGATTATTCAGTTTCCACTCCAAGGCAATTAATGAAGACATCACAATGAGTGGAGTCTGGGCTCCTCTGGAAATTCTAATATTCAGGTAGGGTTGAAACTGGCTGTCTAATCTCACCCTTCAAATCCCTACCCCATTTCCAATCTCCAACTGGCCCTCCTGAAAGTATCTGACACAGAGGTCAGGCATGTTTTCTACCAGTTAATTTAAAAGAAATATAATGAACAGTGAAAGCCATAAAAAGAATATAAAGTGAATAAATCTCCACTCCCTGCCATCAAAATCAAATTGAAGATTTTTACTTTACCCACTGGGCTGAGGAAATCCTCTGGCACCTCCTTAGGGCAGCATTTCAGATCTTCCATAGCCCAGAGGCAAGTCAATCTTGTGCATGGTTCCATGTCTTGAAAGGAGAGAAAAGGTAGCTTCTTTTATCTCTGTGTTGCCATCCTGACTGCTCCTTTCTGTGTTCAACGTTTGCTTTTTTTTCCTATAGGCTTTTTCTCTGCAGGATTGACAAACTCCTGAAGTCTCTATGGTCAATCTTTTATGGGTTTCTCTTTCTTAATCCACTCTATGACACATTCTGAATCAGTGTCATGTTAGAATGGAGAAATACATCTGTTACTTAGAATCTGATTTAAAGAGAACAGAAATGGCTCCTTAAGCTCAGGTTTGATAATATTTCTTTTAATGGATTCCCTCATAAAATCTACATGAAAGCAGTTTCTTTCAAATAACAAATGAATTTATAGCGATCATTTCTATGTGGCTATTCAGTATAAATAAGCTAGCCTTTAAGCTGAGGCATCACTGAAATATACCAGACACGTGTCTCTGTAGAAACATAACAGAGTGCTGTGCCACATACATTGACCTTTCCAAATAATCTTGCTTTGTGAACCAAAGGAAATGTTAATTTCCTCAAGAGCAAGAGCTGATGCATTTGTCAAAGATAAATGAAAAAGGACACAATAGCAACACACTTCAAATGTGCTCTGGATACCAAAAGATAGCAAACATCAGTGACCTCAAGAACTAAAGTGGGATTTGGAGGTCCTCAAGTATAATGTATTCACTGGCACTTTTTAGTTCAAATGGACAGGCAATGGAGCAGAATTAATGCCCTGTGGAACTCATGGCTGTGCATCAAAATCCACCAAGTTACCAAGACCTATGGGCCTTCCAAACAACCCAGGTGAAGGTGGCACTCTTTACAGTGTGCCTGACTAGCAGAATACAGATTCGATTTTCTGACCCTTGAGAAAAACACAGAGCAGTCACTTTGAGCTAAGACTCCAAATTACAGCTGTGGTTCAACAGCTGTAATTGAAGAGCCAGAGAAAGAAAAGAACAGCCGATTGAATATAGAAATAAATAATATGTCATCTCAAAATGCTTCCAAAGTGCAATAAAAGACTGTTTCTAATACAACTGATATGATTCTGGAGATGAAATGATGTCAGCATTTGGTGAAGGCATATTAGGAAAACACAGTTGCCTGAGTAGAAAACTCACAAAGCCCTTAGCTGGGCCTAATGATATATGGAAAAAAGGAACATTATGGGGTCACCCATTTCATGCCACCACAAATCAATATGATGGAACACATCAAAGACACCAAGCAGACTCCTTGGCTGTATGCATCAGCGAGGGCCCCTCTGACTTCAACTGGAAGAACTTATGATAATAAAAGTAAAAATGAAAACAAGGGCTTTGCCAAACTTCCCACAGGAATCCTGTTTGAGGCTCCCGGTGGGTGGACAGGAGAGTGGGAGGTGAGGGAGAAGGCATGGTGCAGGGCACACAATTATGCCTTTGGAAATGGAAGGGAAAACATGGACCCTACATTTCTTTAAGATAATTCAGTTTAGATCAACAAACATTAACTGAACATTACTAAATGATAGGCAGACACTATACTTAGCACTGAGAATTCTAGAAAATCACAACACTTGCTGTCATGAAGTTACTGCCTGGTGGAGAAGAAATTATGTACTACAATCTGTTTATGCTGAAAACACATATAAAGCAGAAAATGATTTGTTCTATCTGAAAGACCAAAAAGAATCCACACATGCAGATATGGTAAGCATGGGTTTGAAGTGTGAATATGAATTCACTATGCAGAAAGGTCAGGAAAGGACATACCGACCTGGCCCTAAGAATGAAGTATTATAATTGGAGTGAATATCCAGAACCACTATTGCCAAGGAACTATTTCCTTTTTCTCCAATTCCTCTCTTCACATTTTCTTTTTTTTTTTAAGTGTGTAACCCCTAGAATTTGTTTTTTGTTTTTTTTTTAATTATACTTTAAGTTTTAGGGTACATGTGCACAATGTGCAGGTTTGTTACATATATATACATGTGCCATGTTGGTGTGCTGCACCCATTAACACGTCATTTAATATTAGGTATATCTCCTAATGCTATCCCTCCCCCTCCCCCGACCCCACAACAGGCCCCAGTGTGTGATGTTCCCCTTCCTGTGTCCATGTGTTTTCATTGTTCAATTCCCACCTATGAGTGAGAACATGTGGTGTTTGGTTTTTTGTCTTTGCGATAGTTTGCTGAGAATAATGGTTTCCAGCTTCATCCATGTCCCTACAAAGACATGAACTCATCATTTTTTATGGCTGCATAGTATCCCATGGTGTATATGGACCATATTTTCTTAATCCAGTCTATCATTGCTGGACATTTGGGTTGGTTCCAAGTCTTTGCTGTTGTGAATAGTGCCACAATAAACATACGTGTGCATGTGTCTTTATAGCAGCATGATTTATAATCCTTTGGGTATATACACCCAGTAATGGGATGACTGGGTCAAATGGTATTTCTACTTCTAGATCCCTGAGGAATCGCCACACTGACTTCCACAATGCTTGAACTAGTTTACAGTCCCACCAACAGTGTAAAAGTGTTCCTATTTCTCCACATCCTCTCCAGCACCTGCTGTTTCCTGACGTTCTAATGATCGCCATTCTAACTGTTGTGAGATGGTATCTCATTGTGGTTTTGATTTGCATTTCTCTGATGGCCAGCATTTTTTCATGTGTCTTTTGGCTGCATAAATGTCTTCTTTTGAGTAGTGTCTGTTCATATCCTTTGCCCACTTTTTGATGGGGTTGTTTGTTTTTTTCTTGTAAATTTGTTGGAGTTCATTGTAGATTCTGGATATTAGCCCTTTGTCAGATAAGTAGATTGCAAAAATTTTCTCCCATTCTCTATGTTGCCTGTTCACTCTGAGGGTAGTTTCTTTTGCTGTGCAGAATCTCTTTAATTTAATTAGAACCCATTTGTCAATTTTGGCTTTTGTTGCCATTGCTTTTGGTGTTTTAGGCATGAAGTCCTTGCCCATGCCTATGTCCTGAATGGCATTGCCTAGGTTTTCTTCTAGGGTTTGTATGGTTTTAGGTCTAACATTTAAATCTTTACTCCATCTTGAATTAATTTTAGTATAAAGTGTAAGGAAGGGATCCAGTTTCAGCTTTCTACATATGGCTAGCCAGTTTTCCCAGCACCATTTATTAAATAGGGAATCCTTTCCCCATTGCTTGTTTTTCTCAGGTTTGTCAAAGATCAGATAGTTGTAGATATGTGGCATTATTTCTGAGGGCTCTGTTCTGTTCCATTGGTCTATATCTCTGTTTTGGTACCAGTACCATGCTGTTTTGGTTACTGTAGCCTTGTAGTATAGTTTGAAGTCAGGTAGCATGATGCCTCCAGCTTTGTTCTTTTGGCTTAGGATTGACTTGGCAATGCAGGCTCATTTTTCGTTCCATATGAGCTTTAAAGTAGTTTTTTCCAATTCTGTGAAGAAAGTCATTGGTAGCTTGATGGGGATGGCATTGAATCTATAAACTACCTTGGGCAGTATGGCCATTTTCATGATATTGATTCTTCCTACCCATGAGCATGGAATGTTCTTCCATTTCTTTGTATCCTCTTTTATTTCATTGAGCAGTGGTTTGTAATTCTCTTTGAAGAGGTCCTTCACATCCCTTGTAAGTTAGATTCCTAGGTATTTTATTGTCTTTGAAGCACTTGTGAATGGGAGTTCACTCATGATTTGGCTCTCTGTTTGTCTTTTGTTGGCATATAAGAATGCTTGTGATTTTTGCACATAGATTTTGTACCTTGAGACTTTGCTGAAGTTGCTTATCAGCTTAAGGAGATTTTGGGCTGAGACAATGGGGTTTTCTAGATATACAATCATGTTGTCTGTAAACAGGGACAATTTGACTTCCTCTTTTCCTAATTGAATACCCTTTATTTCTTTCTCCTGCCTGAGTGCCCTGGCCAGAACTTCCAACACTATGTTGAATAGGAATGGTGAGAGAGGGCATCCCTGTCTTGTGCCAGTTTTCAAAGGGAATGCTTCCAGTTTTTGCCCATTTGGGATGATATTGGCTGTGGGTTTGTCATAGATAGCTCTTATTATTTTGAGATACGCCCATCAATACCTAATTTATTGAGATTTTTTAGCATGAAGTGTTGTTGAAATTTGTCAAAGGCCTTTTCTGCATCTATTGAGATAATCATGTGGTTTTTGTCTTTGACTCTGTTTATATGCTGGATTACATTTATTGATTTGCGTGTGTTGAACCAGCCTTGCATCCCAGGGATCAAGTCCACTTGATCATGGTGGATAAGCTTTTTGATGTGCTGCTGGATTCGGTTTGCCAGTATTTTGTTGAGGATTTTTGCATCAATGTTCATCAAGGATATTGGTCTAAAATTCTCTTTTTTGGTTGTGTCTCTGCCCGGCTTTGGTATCAGGATGATGTTGGCCTCATAAAATGAGTTAGGGAGGATTCCCTCTTTTTCTATTGATTGGAATAGTTTCAGAAGGAATGGTACCAGCTCCTCCTTGTGCCTCTGGTAGAATTCGGCTGTGAATCCATCTGGTCCTGGACTTTTTTTGGTTGGTAAGCTATTGATTATTGCCTCAATTTCGGATCGTGTTATTGTTCTATTCAGAGATTCAACTTCTTCCTGGTTTAGTCTTGGGGGAGTGTATGTGTCAAGTAATTTATAAATTTCTTCCAGATTTTCTAGTTTATTTGCATAGTGGTGTTTATAGTATTCTCTGATGGTAGTTTGTATTTCTGTGGGATCAGTGGTGATACCCCCTTTATCATTTTTTATTGCATCTATTTTATTCTTCTCTCTTATCTTCTTTATTAGTCTTGCTAGCAGTCTATCAATTTTGTTGATCTTTTCAAAAAACCAGCTTCTGGATTCACTGATCTTTTGAAGGGATTTTTGTGTCTCTATTTCCTTTAGTTCTGCTCTGATTATAGTTGTTTCTTGCCTTATGCTAGCTTTTGAAGGTGTTTGCTCTTGCTTCTCTAGTTCTTTTCATTGTAATGTTAGGGTGTCCATTTTAGATCTTTCCTGCTTTCTCTTGTGGGCATTTAGTGCTATAAATTTTCCTCTACACACTGCTTTGAATGTGTCCCAGAGATTCTGGTATGCTATGTCTTTTTTCTCATTGGTTTCAAAGATCATCTTTATATCTGCCTTTATTTTGTTATGTACCTAATAGTCATTCAGAAGCAGGTTGTTCAGTTTCCATGTCGTTGAGCGGTTTTGAGTGAGTTTCTTAATCCTGAGTTCTAGTTTGATTGTACTGTGGTCTGAGAGACAGTTTGTTATAATTCTTGTTCTTCTACATTTGCTGAGGAGTGCTTTACTTCCAACTGTGTGGTCAATTTTGGAATAGGTGTGGTCTGGTGCTGAAAAGAATGTATATTCTATTGATTTGGGGTGGAGAGTTCTGTAGAAGTCTATTAGGTCCACTTGGTGCAGAGCTGAGTTCAATTCCTGGATATCCTTGTTAACTTTCTGTCTCATTGATCTGTCTAATGTCGACAGTGGGGTGTTAAAGTCTCCCATTATTATTGTGTGGGAGTCTAAGTCTCTTTATAGGTCTCTAAGGACTTGCTTTATGAATCTGGGTGCTCTTGTATTGGGTGCATATATATTTAGGATAATTAGCTCTTCTTCTTGAATTGATCCCTTTACTATTATGTAATGGCCTTCTTTGTCTCTTTTGATCTTTGTTGGCTTAAAGTCTGTTTTATCAGAGACTAGGCCTGCAACCCCTGCGTTTTTTTGTTTTCCATTTTCTTGGTAGATCTTCCTCCATCCTTTTATTTTGAGCCTATGTGTGTCTTTGCACATGAAATGGGTTTCCTGAATACAGCACACTGATGGGTCTTGACTCTTTATCCAATTTGCCAGTCTGTGCCTTTTAATTGGAGCATTTAGCCCATTTACATTTAAAGTTAATAACATTATGTGTGAATTTGATCCTGTCATTATGATGTTAGCTGGTTATTTTGCTCGTTAGTTGATGCACTTTCTTCCTTGCCTGGAGGGTCTTTACAATTTGGCATGTTTTTGCAGTGGCTGGTACTTGTTGTTCCTTTCCATGTTTAGTGCTTCCTTCAGGAGCTCTTTTAGGGCAGGCCTGGTGGTGACAAAATCTCTCAGCATTTGCTTGTCTGTAAAGAATTTTATTTCTCCTTCACTTATGAGGCTTAGTTTGGCTGGATATGAAATTCTGGGTTGAAAATTCTTTTCTTTAAGAATGTTGAATATTGGCCCCCACTCTCTTCTGGCTTGTAGAGTTTCTGCCGAGAGACCAGCTTGTAGTCTCATGGGCTTCCCTTTGTGGGTAACCTGACCTTTCTCTCTGGCTGCCCTTAACATTTTTTCCTTCATTTCAACTTTGGTGAATCTGACAATTATGTGTCTTGGAGTTGCTCTTCTCAAGGAATATCTTTCTGGTGTTCTCTGTATTTCCTGAATTTGAATGTTGGCCTTCCTTGCTAGATTGGGGAAGTTCTCCTGGATAATATCCTGCAGAGTGTTTTCCAACTTGGTTCCATTCTCCACGTCACTTTCAGGTGCACCAATCAGATATAAATTTGGTCTTTTCACATAGTCCCATATTTCTTGGAGGCTTTGTTCGTTTCTTTTTATTCTTTTTTATCTAAACTCTCTTCTTGCTTCATTTCATTCATTTGATCTTCCATCACTGATACCCTTTCTTCCAGTTGATTGAATAGGCTACTGAGGCTTGTGCATTCATCACGTAGTTCTCATGCCATGGTTTTCAGCTCCATCAGGCCCTATAAGGACTTCTCTGCATTGGTTATTCTAGTTAGCCATTTGTATAATCTTTTTTCAAGGTTTTTAACTTCTTTGCCATGGGTTCAAACTTCCTCCTTTAGCTCGGAGTAGTTTGATCATCTGTAGCCTTCTTCTCTCAACTCATCAAAGTCATTCTCCGTCCAGCTTTGTTCCATTGTTGGTGAGGAGCTGTGTTCCTTTGGAGGAGGAGAGGTGCTCTGATTTTTAGATTTTTCAGTTTTTCTGCTCTGTTTTTCTCCCCATCTTTGTGGTTTTATCTAACTTTGGTCTTTGATGATGGTGACCTACAGATGGAGTTTTGGTGTGGATGTCCTGTTTGTTAGTTTTCCTTCTAACAGTCAGGACCCTCAGCTGCAGGTCTGTTGGAGTTTGCTGGAGGTCCACTACAGACCAGGTGCCTGGGTATCAGCAGTGGAGGCTGCAGAACAGCAGATATTGCTGAACAGAAAATGTTGCTGCCTGATCATTCCTCTGGACATTTTGTCTCAGAGGAGTACCCAGCCATGTGAGGTGTCAGTCTGCCCCTACTGGGGGGTGCCTCCCAGTTACGCTACTTGGGGGTCAGGGACCCACTTGAGGAGGCAGTCTGTCTGTTCTCAGATCTCCATCTGCGTGCTGGGAGAACCACTACTCTCTTCAAAGCTGTCAGACAGGGACATTGAAGTCTGCAGAGGTTTCTGCTGTCTTTTGTTTGGCTATGCCCTGTCCCCATAGGTGGAGTCTATAGAGGCAGGCAGGCCTCCTTGAGCTGCAGTGGGCTCCACCCAGTTCGAGCTTCCCAGCTGCTTTGTTTACCTACTCAAGCCTGAGGAATGGCGGGCACCCCTCCTCCAGCCTTGCTGCTGCCTAGCAGTTTGATCTCAGACTACTGTGCTGGCAATGAGCAAGGCTCAGTGGGCATAGGACCCTCTGAGCCAGGCACACAATATAATCTCCTGGTGTGCCGTTTGCTAAGACTGTTGGAAAAGTGCAGTATTAGGGTGGGAGTGACCCGATTTTTCAGGTGCCGTCCGTCACCCCTTTCCTTGGCTAGGAAAGAGAATTCCCTGACCCCTTGCACTTCCCTGGTGAGGTGATGCCTTGCCCTGCTTTGGCTCAGGCTCGGTGCACTGCACCCCGGTCTGACAATTCCCAGTGAGATGCACCCGGTACCTCAGTTGGAAATGCAGATATCATTCCTCTTCTGCATTGCTCATGCTGGGAGCCGTAGACTGGAGCTCTTCCTCCTTGGCCATCTTGGCTCCACCCTCATATTTTCTCTTGAACCTTCTCCAAACAGTCATATGATGCTACTGCTTCACTAAAATACATTATGCCAAGGACACCAATAACCATTTTGTTGCTGAATTCAAAATTGATTTTCAATCCTTACAATTTCATCTACTGGCAACATTTAATAGAATATACTACATACTCTTTTTGGAAATACTTTCTTCCTTTGGCTTCTGGGACAGCACAGTCTCTTGCTTCTCTTCCAATCTCTAAGACCACTCCTTAGGTCTCCTTTGCAGTTTCTCCCTCATTTCTTTGCACTCTAAATGTTGGAGGGCCTCAGGACAAGGCCCTCAGTCCTCTTTCTTCTTTAATCTATTCAAATTAACTTCCTAAGAGATCTCACCCAGTCTCATACTTTTGAAAAGTGTCTGCATGTTGATGACTCCAAAATTCAAGCCTCTGGTCTGGATCTCAACCATGAATTTCAAGTCCATATATCTCACTGCCTACTAAAGAATTCTACTTGTAAGTCTCACAGAAATCTCAGCCTTAACATATCTCAAAAGAAACTCTTTACTCCCTCCTCATCCTGTTCCTACAGGTTGCCATTACTTAGATCTTCCCCACCTAAGTAATAGCATCTCCATTTTTTATTATTCATGTCAGAAATCTTGGTCACCCATGAGTCTTCTTTTTCACTCACATCCCATATTCAACCTCAGCACCAAATCTTATTGACTCTTCTTCCAAAATACATCCAGAATCTCACCCTTTCTCAGAATTTCTATTGCAAAAATCCTAGTCCATGGGGCAATCATCTCTCATTGGGAATATTGTAATAGCCTCCACAATGGGCCTCCCTGCTTCTATCTATTCCTGTTATCAGAATGATTGTTCAAAAATGTAAATCAGATCACGGCATTCCTCTGCTCAGATCTGTCCAATGACTTCCTACCTGAGTCAGAGTAAAATCAACAGTTCCCTCCCAGCACTATCCTGACCTCACCTGCTATCATATTTGCCTACTCTCTGCTGGCTCTGCCTCAGCCATGTTGACCTCATTGCTAGTCCTCAAAAGTGCCAAGCACTCCCCCACTTCAGGACCTTTGCACTTACTATTTCCTCTGCTTCAAAAGGTCTTACCTCATGGAATCACATGGTTCCCTTCCTGACTTTATTTATATTTAAAATACACCTTTGTAATAATGTCTTCAAGGAGCACTTTTTATAAAACAGCAACTCTCCCCCCTGACTCGAACATTTTCTATTCCCCTTTCCCTGCTTTTTCTAAATTGCACAATTGCCACATGATATATGTGTATATTTATTTGTCTGTCTACCTCCATCAGAATATAAGTTCTTGAGGGTCAGAACATTATCTGCTGTGTTCACTGGTGTACCCCCAGCACCTACAATATTGCCAGTTATACAATAGGCACCCAATAAATATTTATTGACTGACTGCATGAATGAAAAGAAATGGAGGCCAGCTGTGGTGGCTCACACCCATAATCCCAGCACTTTGGGAGGCTGAGGTGGGCGGAACACCTGAGGTGAGGACTTCAAGACCAGCATGACCAACATGACGAAACCCCATCTCTACTAAAAATACAAAATTAGCCGGGCGTGGTGGTGCATGCCTGTAATCCCAGCTACTCGGGAGGCTGAGGCAGGAGGATTGTTGAACCCAGGAGGCAGAGGTTGCAGTGAGCAGAGATCATGACACTGCACTCCAGGCTGAGCAATAGAGTGAGACTCTGTCTCAAAAAAAAAAAAAAAAAAAAGAAAGAAGGAAAAGAAAAGAAAAGAAAAAAAAAAAAGAAAAGAAAAGGCTCTGAGCACCTGAACACTCAGAAGAAAGCCAGTTCAGAAAGAAGAAGCTAGAGACTGATGTCAAACACGCATCATTCCTTTCTTGCTTATATAAACAAAACACATGCACATGTACTCAAACATGCACAGACACATAGTATGCACTGAAATTCTCATAAACAAATATAGACTCAATCACTATAAGGCCCTCTTATAAACTTCACAAAGTTGCTAATTTAAGAACCTCTTCTTAGTTGGCAAACATTTTCTATAGTGAACACAAGATAGTAAATAGTTTAAGCTTTTTGATATCTGTTCCATATGATCTCTGTTCAACTACTCAGCTCTGCCATTGTAGCACAAAAGAAGGTATAGAAAAAAAAACATCTTCTTAAGTAGAGTTAAATATTTGGACTAGATTCATACTCAAACTTTACCTGACTAGTAGGGTCCAGATTCTACTGCCTTTGGAGAAAAATTTATACTAAAATTTTTCTGTAAGAACTTTTGGAGAAATATAAGTACTAAAGTTTAATTTGTGCATGTCCTTCTACTAGCAATTTCATCCTAGGTATGTAACCTAAGAAAATCCTCTCACATATGCACAGAAGAGATACACACAAAATGTTCACTGCAGCATTATTCATAATAGAGGAAAATTGGAAACAATCTAAATATCCATCAATGGGAAAATGGATGAATGCCTTATGGTAGATTCATACAGTAGAATATTAACTGGTACTTCAGAATTAGAGCCTGGATAAATCTCAAAAGCATTGATTGAGCATCTGAACAAGTTGCAGGATATATACCATACCATATACATAAACTTAAAATGTGTAACACAATACCATATATAACTTGTGGATATATAAGAAACATAGTAAGAGTATAAAATGATAAACACCAATTTCAGTAGAGTGACTTCCTCACCCCACTGTTTTCAGTGGGAGACACAATAGGAAGGGAAAGAGGTAATGAGGGGCTTCAACTGTATCTGCAGTGACTTATTTCTTGAAAAGAACATATATCTGCAGGAATATGTCAAGGTTTTAAGATTTGACAAAACTTGGTGGTATTTCTCAGTATTTCTCTTTGCTTTCCTATGTGCTTGAAATATTTCATAATTAAAAAAAAGACTCCATTCCCCCCAAAATTGAGGATAACCAGATAAACAGTCCCTCAACACAGTGTGGCATTAATGAGATTCAATTATGTTTACAAGGGCATTCCAGGTGGAAAAACTGTATTTGCGTAACTGCTTATTTTGGGTAACACTGATAGAGTTAAATCATGAAGGATCTTGTAAGTCATAATAAGCAGTTGGCATTTTATCCTGTGGCACTTGAAAGTCTGAATTTTAAGTAAGGGAGTAACATGATTTGATTTAAATTTTATTGAGATCACTCTTGGGGAGCAATTTGGGCAATAGAATAGAGGGTTAAAATGAATGGAAGTAGTAAGACCAGTTTGGAGGCTTTTACAATGATCCATGCAAGATATAAGGGAGTTCTGGAGTAAGTGGCACTGATGATGGAGAAAAGTAGATGAATGTAAAAGCGTTTAAGAAGTAAAATCAGGCCAGGTACGGTGGTTCATGCCTGTAATCCCAGCACTTTGGGAGGCCAAGGTGGGTGGATCACTTGAGGTCAGGAGGTCAAGACCAGCCTGGCCAACATGGCCTTGTCTCTAGTAAAAATACAAAAATTAGACAGGCATGGTAGCAAGCACCTGTAATCCCAGCTACTTGGTAGGCTGAGGTGGGAGAATCACTTGAACCTGGGAGGCGAAGGTTGCAGTGAGCTGGAATTGAGCCACTGCACTCCAGCCTTGGTGACAGAGTGAGACTCCATCTCAAAAAAAAAATAAATAAATAAAAAATAAGAAGAAGGAAGAAGGAAGAAAGAAGGAAGGAAGAAGGAGAAATAAACTCAACAGAAGTCTGATGTGCAAAGTGCAGAAGGAAGTCCAGGGTGCCTTTCAGTTTTCTAGCCTGTTGGAATGAGTGGATAATGATTGTGCTCACTGGAATGGGGAGTAAGGGGAAGGAAGTGTAGATTTGGGCATGGCAGGGAAGACAAAGAATTAATGCATGTTGAATTCCAGTCTCAATTGAGACATTCCTGAGGAGGATATCCATGAGGCAGGTGGATGAGTAGATCTGCAGCTTTAGGAGAATATTCATAAAGATAAATATTTGGTTATCATCCATGTATAGCTGGCAGTTAAAACCATGAAAATGAAGGAGATCTCCTGGAATAGCATAGAGACTGGAGATTAAGGAGAAGAGAACCAAGGACAGAATCTGGAATCGCTGCCACATTGAATGAGACACAGCAAAGAGAATTCCACACAGAAGGCTGAGCGTAAATTGGTGGAAATGTGGCAGAAGAGTGCAGAGATCATGGAAGGCAGCTTCATGACATTAAGCCTGAGTGCTAGAATCACAGCACAAAACCTCTGCCCTCTCTTGTACTAAAAATGATTGAGAAATGCCTCCTCATCCTGAAGGCTAATTTCTCCACCTGAGCTTTAAATAACTTCAAAAGTGAATGTGTAAACCCATGTAGAATATTGATCTGCTGTCAAGAAAAGTCTTAAGGGGATCAATTTCCATATCCTAAAATTCCATATGAACCCTCCTAAAACTGACCTACACACTTTGGGTTCAGGCACTGAAAAAATTCTCCTTTCTCACTTCTCCATTAGCAGTCACCATCTTTCCCCTTCACAAAAGAAAGGCATTCTCCTCATCTATCCCTAATGGTAATCAGATAAATTTCCTTAGAATATAAAAACTTCCAATGGGTCAAAGAAACACATCAAGATTTTAGCCTTGAGCAAAGTCCTTTTGAATTGATTAAGGCACCAAAAACATATGATGAGCCTACGTTTTTCCCTTACACATTTCTGTTAAGGGCACAGCCTGGCTCTAGAAGCCTATGTTCTGTATCCATCTCCTTTTGTGACAGCTTTCACTCCTTTTCATCTCACCTCTTATTCCCATGTCCAGTTCTTCAAAGGCTTTGACCAGCTTCATGCAGGTACAACCTAGAAGCTTCTGGCTTCAGTTTCTCTGATATGGATACCAGTGGGAACTCACACAAATGCAACCCAGCTGTGTGGGAAGTAACTCTGTAGAGTAATCCTTGAACCATGGCAGGAGGTAGATAAAGGCTTCCCCCTCTGTTCACCAAGAGACAATCCTGAGACACATTTCGTTAGGATTCTCTGATGATCCACTGTTATCCAGCAGCCAATCTCTTATAATAGTAGCCAGCTGAATAAAGCTTCCTTTATTGGCTCTCCTGCTTCCTCCTTCACTCACCTGTGTCACTCCTCCCTGTATGCAAGCATTTGTTTTAGGCTCTGCTATGGGAGAACCCAGGAAAAGAGAGTTAAGATGTTCTGAATTCAGATATTTTGTAGGATGGGGCAGAAGAAATGAGGATGATTTCATTTGCCAACTTCCCCTCTTCCATCTCTGGACTACTACCAAGGAACACATCACGTTAAGGAGAATGCTATGAGAGCAAAGCAATGAGAGAGAATACAGGAAAAACGTGGAAGCTTCAGTGCCTTATTTTACCCAAGCAACAAACTCAAGGCAAGGCTTTGTGGAGTACCCTTCTATCTGCCCGAGAATAGACTATTTGAGATATGCGGTAGGCATTTCGGAAAATCCAGTCGAGTATGAGGTTCAACCCTCTGCATTTTTTTTTTTTTTTTAATGAAAAGAGCTTGAGAAGAACTCAATTCAGCTGCTGCTTCATCTAGGGCACAGGTGTATGTGTTCATGATTTCAAGGATGAGGTGAAAAGTCTCCTCAGTCAACCAGTGTTACAGCTTCAAATAAAAGGAACACATATTGAAGGTAAGTTAGCATTTTATATTAAACATTTATTCAGACATGTAAAAGAAACAATTTTATTAACTCATTACTAAAATATTTAAGCAATTTGAAACCTCCTGTTTGCTGCCTCTTGTCACTCCCTTCTCTGCTCATTCATTTCTATTGTGTGTTTATTAGATTTAGGTTGACTTAATAGAAATATGTTATTGATTTTATTATACATAGTTAAAAATTGTCAATTCACTTCTTGTAAGTTCTACATTTACTGGTGGCCCAATACCTCTTTTTTTTTTTTTTTTTTTTTGTCTTTCATTTGTTTTCCACAAAGCAGTTAAAATGTACCTTTAAAGCAAAACATTTCCTTGTGTATGGAAATAGGATAAAATGTTTCCAGAGCAATCTAGGATATAATGTCTTGAAGTTTAGAAAACTCACTCTATTAGTGTTTTTTCTCCCTCTCCAAAGCAGATATGCTGTTCAATTCTTTCAAATGTGTGAGCAGTTGTCTTAAACTATAAAATGAAACTACCAATCTATCTATGTATAAAAATACTCAAGAATGTGACTCTTTCTAACCTCACATCTTTCCAAGGTACTTTGAGATTACCTGGAAAATTGTAATTTAGATGAATATGTAGGTCTGGATTCACAGTCAATGGGAAAAGTCCTAAAATGCACAATTTCCAGGGTTTCTTTGTTGTTGTGTTTTTTTGTTTTTTTTTTTTTTTTTTTTTTGGCGGGCGGTGGTTTTACTCAATTGCCATCTAGTGTTAGCTCCATAAACAAGTTTCCTCTAAATGAAAGCATAGTTGGTATAAGGGGACTTTCATCTCAGGAGAGAGGATTGCTTAAACCTGGGAGGTCAACTTTGCCGTGAGCCATGATCCCACCACTGCATTCCAGCCTGAGCAACCCTATCTCAAAAAAAAAAAAAAAAAAAAAGGCATTGATAAGTCTTGATAAAGCCTTCTTGATGTATTTCCCAGTAAGTGAGAAAGTTATTCTAAGGGCCAGGTTAAAGAATGCTTTTAAGTCAGCACTTTTCTGTTTTTTTGTCTTCAACAAAATTAAAGGGAGGTATAACAGTGGTCAATAGCTAGATTTTTAAATATAATTTTTGATAACATATCACTATGAATTTGAAAGTATGACTTGGAAGAATTTCTAAGAATTGAGTGATGTTATAAAAAATTATATTCTTTATTTACTATGTAAATAAATATTTCTCATTTACTATATAAAAAAGAATATAGTTAATGCTGAATCCTGTCTCATTCTATCAGTAAGTCCTATTTATCCATGGATACATTATTTAAGTAGACAAAAAGAAAACTATCTGACAAGGCAATGTCTTGTCATAAAATTTCAATTTCTAGGTTTGATAATTATCAATAACATTCATATTAATAACCTAATATAACTTACACTAAAACATGCAGTCTTTGAGAAAATATTATTTTCATTCATATACATATTTTTATTGCAGAGAACTTTGTAGAATGATATATAATATATTTAAACATAAAATAATACATTGGAATAAAATTCTGAGGGAAAATGAAATAAAAATATGATTTCAAGAAGAAAAGGTAACAATGGAGATTTTTTCAGCTATTTAAAGAACTCCAATATATATTGATATTTTTAACAGATGATGGTAAATGTCAAATTTTTTATAACATTTAATTTCCTTATTTACATTTAAAGAGCAATGTAACAGTTTGGGGACTGTTTTGCCCACCCCCCTCCCCCGCAACCATTTGCTTTTTTAATTGACAAAAATATTGCATATATTGTGTGTTCAATGTGAGGTTCTGAAATGTGTATATCTCATAGGGTAAATAAATATACATATGCATTACCTCACATATCCTTTTTTGTGGTGGGAACATTTAAAATCTCAGTGATTTTTGAGAATAGAATGTGTTCATATTAACTGTAGTCACCAGGTTGTACACCAGGTAATTCTCCTGAATTTACTCCTCTTCACTGAAATTTTGTATCCTCTGACCAACATCTCCTTAACTTCCTCCACCCCAGCCCCTGGTAACCACCATTCTGCTCTCTGTTTCTATGAGTTCAACTTTTTTAGATTCCACATGTAAGTGAGGTCATGCAGTATTTGTCTTTTTATGCCTGGCTTATTTAATTTAATATAATGACCTCCAGTTCCATTAATGTTTCCACGAATGACAGAATTTCCTTCTTTTTTATGACTGAATAGTATTCCATTGTGTATATATATGATTTTTTTAATCCATTCATCCATTAATGAACACTTAGGTTGATTCCATATCTTAGCTATTGTGAATAATGGTGCAATGAATATAAGAGTGCTGATCTCTTCAGCATACTGATTTCATGTCCTCTGAATATGTATCCAGTAGTGGGATAGCTGGATCATCTGGTAGTTACATATGTATATTGTTTTTGAGGAACCACCATGCTGTTTTTCATAATGACTCTAACTAATTTACATTCCCACCAGGTGTACAAGAATTCCCCTTAATCTGCATTTTTGCCAACATTTATCTTTTTTCTTTTTAATAATACCTACTCTAATATGTGTAAGGTAATCATTGTGGTTTTAATTTGCATTTTATAATTGATTAGTAATGTTCAGCATTTTTTCATGTACCTATTGACTGTATGTGGTCTTTTGAGAAATGTCTGTTCAAGTCCTTTGCCCATTTTAAAATCATATTGTTTTCCTGCTATTGAATTGTTGGAGTTACTTATATATTTTGGATATTAACCCCTTCTCATGTGTCAAACATTTTCTTTCATTTGCTAGGTAGTCTCTTCACATGTTGAATATTTCCTTGGCTGTGCAGATGCCTTTTAGTTTGATGTAATGCCATTTGTCTAACTGTGCTTTTGTTACCTGTGCCTTTGCAGTCTGTAAAAAAAAAAATCACCAAGACCAATGTCATGAAGATTTTGCCTATGATTTCTTCTTGTAGTTTTATAATTTCTGGTTTTACATTCAATTCCTTAATCTGTTTTGAGTTGATTTTTTCCTGAGCTATATTTTTTTTAAATAATTTTATATTTTATTTTAGATTCAGGGGGTATATGTGCAGGTTTGTTACCTGGGTATATTGTGTGATGCTGAGGTTTGGGGTATGAATGATCTTTTCACCCAGGTACTGAGCATAGTACCCAATAGATAGTTTTTCAGCCCTTGACCACTCCTTCCATCTCTCCACTAGAAATCCCCCATGTCTATTGTTGCCATCTTTATATCCATAATTACCAAGTGTTTAGCTCCCATTTATAAGTGACAACATGTGGTATTTGGTTTTCTGTTCCTGTGTTAATTCACTTAGGATAATGGCCTCCAGCTGCATCCACATTGCTGCAAAGAACATGATTTCATTTTTTATGGCTGCATGGTATTCCATGGTATATATGTACGACATTTTTTTTTTTTTTGTCCAATCCACTGTGGATGGGCATCTAGGTTGATTCCATGAACATAAGAGTATGTGTGTCTTTTTGGTAGAATGATTTATTTTCTTTTGGATATAAACCTGGGTGGAATGGTAGTTGTTTTTAGTTCTTTGAGAAATGTCCAAACTGCTTTCTACAGTGGCTGAATTAATTTATATTTCCACCAACAATGTATAAACATTTTATTTTCTCCATAGCCTTGCCCAGAATCTGTTGTTTTTTCACTTTTTAATAATAGCCATTCTAACTGGTGTGAAATAATATCTCATCATGGTTTCAATTTGCATTTCTCTCTGATGTTTAGTGATGAGCATTTTTTCATATGTCTGCTGGCCACTTGTATGTCTTCTTTTGAGAAGTGTCCATGTCTTTTGCCTACATATTTTTTTGAGATGGAGTTTTGCTCTTGTTGCTCTTTCAATAGTTTAAGTTCTCTATGGATTCTGGATATTAGAACTTTGTCATATGCATAGTTTGCAAATAGTTTCTTTCATTCTGTAGGTTGTCTATTTACTGTTAAGTGTTTTCTTTTGCTATTCAGAAGCCTTTTAGTTTAATTAGGTTCAACTTATCAATTTTTGGTTTTGTTGGAATTGCTTTTGAGGACTTAGTCACTAATTCTATCCCAAGGCTCATGTCTAAAATGGTATTCCTAGATTTTCTGCTAGGGTCCTTATACTTTGAGGCCTTACATTTAAATATTTAATCCTTCTTGGGTTAATTTTTGTATATAGTGAGAGATAGGAGTCCAGTTTTATTCATCTCTGCACAGAGTGGATGGGGTGACTTGGGTTGCCACCCAGTTGAGCAGGTTCTCCAAATGCCTGAAGATCTGCCTCAGTATGAAGCACAAAGGCCTCCCCTGCACCAGGATCTTTGCACAGGAAAGACAGCATGGCTGAAACTGCTAGTTCATTTGAGCAAGTGCTTCAAATGCCTGGTGATTTGGATAATGTCCAAAATGTCTAGGTGTGGAGTAGAGAGGGCCCTACTGCACCATGATCTACACACAAGAAGATCCACCTGCTGATCCGGGTGAAGGAGTACTTCAAATGTCTGGAGATTTACCTGGGGGTGGAGCATACCAGGTTCTAATATGGTTTGGGTCTGTGTTCCCACCCAAATCTCAAGTCATACGGTAATACCCAATATTGGAGTTGGAGCTCAGTGGGAGGTAATTAAATTTTGGAGGTATATTTCCCATTTGGTGCTCTTCTCATGACAGTGAGTGAGTTGTCTCGAGATTTGGTTGTTTAAAAGTGTGCGACACCTCCCCTCTCTCTCTCTTCCTCCTGTTTCAGCCATGTAAAACATGCCTGCCTCCCCTTCACCTTCCACTATGATTGTAAGTTTACCGAGGCCTTCCCAGCAATGTTTCCTCTACAGCCTGCAGAAGTGTGAATCAATTAAACCTCTTTACTTTGTAAATTACCCAGTCTCAGGTATTTCTTTATGGCAATGCAAGAACAGAGTAATATAGAAAATTGGTACCAGGAATGGGGCATTGCTGTAAAGATATCTGAAAATGTGGTGGAAATGGCTTTGGAACTGGGTAATGGGCAGAAGTTTGAAGAGTTCAAAGGGCTCAGAAGAAGACAGGAAGATGAGGGAAAGTTTGGAATTCCTAGAGACTTGCTGAATGGTTGTGACCAAAATGCAGATAGTGATATGGATGGTGAAGACTAGGTTGAGGAGGTCTCAGATGGAAATGAGAAACTTATTGGGAACTGGAGTAAAGATCACTCTTGATATGCTTTAGCAGAGATTGGTGGCATTGTGCCCCAGCTCTAGGGATCTGTAGAATTTTGAACTTGAGAGAGATGATTTAGAGTACCTGGTGGAAGACATTTCTAAGCAGCAAAGTGTTCAAGGTAAACCTGAACTGCTAAATCCTGGCTGCTTCTAAAAGCCTATGCTCATATGCATGAGCAGAGAAATGACCTGAAACTGGAACTTATATGTAAAAGGGAAGCAGATCATAAACGTTTGAAAACCTTGCAGCCTGGCCATGCAGTAGAAAAGAAAAACCCATTTTCTGGGAAGAAATTCAAGCCAGCTGAAGAAATTTGCATAACTAAAAGGAAGGCAAGAACTAGTAGCCAAGACAATAGGGAAAAAAAGCCCTTGAAAACACATCAGAGACCTCACAGCAGCCCCTCCAATCACAGGCCCCAAAGCCTAAGAAGGAAGAATGGTTTCATGGGCCAGACACAGGGCCCTGCTTTCCTGTGCAGCCTCAAAACACTGCTCCCTGCATCCTGGCTGCTCCAGTTCCAGCTGTGGCTCAAAGGATCCTAGGTATATCTCAGGCTGCTTCTTCTGAGGTTTCAAGCCACAAACCTTAGCAGCTTCTATGTGGTGTTAAGCCTGCAGCTGCACAGAGTGTAAAAGTTGAGGCTTGGGAGCCTCTGCCTAGATTTCAGAAGATGTATGGAAAAGCCTGGAACACCAAGCAGAAGCCTCCACACAGAGTCCCCAATGGGACACTGCCTACTGGACCTGTGAGAAGAGGGCTAGACACACTGACAGCTTGTACCCTGCACCTGGAAAAGACACAGGCACTAAATGCCACCCCTGAAAGCAGCCTCAGGGACTGTACCCTGTAGAGCCTCGGGTGGAGCTGCCCAAGGCCTTGGGAGCCTACCCTTCGCACCAGTGTGCCCTGAGTGTGAGACATAGAGTCAAAAGAGATTATTTTGGAGCTTTAAGATTTAATAACTGCCCTGCTGGGTTTCAGATTTGCATAGGGCCTGTAGCCCTTTCTACTCCCCAGTTTCTCCTGTCTGGAAAGGGAGTATTTACCCAATGCCTGTACCCCCATTGTATCCATGAAGTAACTAATTTGTTTTTGATTTTACAGGCTCATAGGTGGAAGGGACTAGCCTTGTGTTAGATGAGGCTTTGGACTTTGGACTTTTGAGTTAATGCTGGAATGAGTTAAGGCTTTGGGGTAGCGTTTGGAAGGCATTATTGTATTTTGAAATGTGAGAAGGACATGGGATATTGGAGGGACTAGGGATGGAATAATATGGTTTGGTTCTGTGTCTCCACCCAAATCGCATGTCAAATTATAATACCAGCATTGGAGTAGGCACCTGATGGGAGGTGATTGGATCATGAGAACATATTTCCCCTTTGGTGCTGTACTCATGATAGTAAGTTATCATGAGATCTGGTTGCTTAAAACTGTGTAGCTCCTCCCCTCCCTTCCTTCCTCCTGCTCCAGTCATGTAATACAGACCTGCTTCCTCTTTGCCTTCTGCTATGATTGTAAGTTTTCTGAGGCCTTCCCAGCCATGTTTTCTGTACAGCTTGCAGAACTGTGAGCCAATTAAACCTCTTTTCTTCATGAGTTACCAAGTTGGCTGGGTATTTTATAAAGTATTTCTTTATAGCAGTGTAAGAACAGACTAATACAGGGTCCCACTGCACCACGATCTCAGGGAAGCAGGCTGGGCACCCAGCAATGACATACACGACCAGTTTCAATCTCCATGCTGGCTATAGCTGCAAGTCTCATCACCCGGGAGAAACTACCCATAGCAGCTGTCCTCCCATCCCAGGACTGTGACCAGGGAGAACACAATTCCAGCACCCTCTGCTGAGATGCTTTCCACATTTCTGGCTGTGGAGGCACCTACCTGGCTCCAGAACAAGCACCTCAGTCTTTGGCCTGAGACTATAATGCCTGCATGGCCATGCTGCCAGGTTGCCAAAGAATGGTTAACTTTGTGTGTACTCAGATTAAAAATGTCATCTTGGGCCAGGTGTGATGGATTATGCCTGTAACCCCAGCACTTTGGGAGGCTGAGTGGGGGCAGATCAGTTGTGGTCTAAACTTTGAGACAAGCCTGGCTAACATGGTGAAACCCTGTCTCTACGAAAAAATACAAGAATTAGCCAGGCGTGGTGGTGGGCACCTGTAGTCCCAGTTACTCAGGAGGCTGAGGCAGGAGAATCACTTGAACCTGGGAGGTAGAGGATGCAGTGAGCCAAGATCACACCATTGCACTCCAGCCTGGGCAACAGAGCAAGACTAAATCTTAAAAAAAAAAAAAAAAAAAAAAAAAAAAAAAACCAAATGGCATTTTGCTCTCAGTCACAGATACAAGAAATGCCTGCAGCTTTTCCAAGTCTTTCCCTCTCAGCTCTTCCAAGCCTCTGGGTTGCTTGGATTCTCAGTGGAAGGGTGAGTCACAGAGAGAGGCACTCTTTCTCTCTCACTTAATGGAAATTTACTCACTTTTATCAGCTGGACACCATCACAGGAGCTGTTTGCCCACATTCTCCTCCCCTGGGTCTGTAGTGTTCTTCACAATTCCAGTGGATTCCCATTTTACTTACCAAAAATGCAGTTATTTTTCACAGAGTTGTTCTTTATGCACTACCTTGTTATTTCCAAGTGGTTGAGGCTCACTAAAAGCCTCATCTCTCATCTTGGAGGAAAACATATATGGTATGAGATAGGGCCTGTAATATTTTTTTCTAATTTAATTATTCTGCATGTGGAAATACAGTTTTTCTAAGACCATTCATTGAAAATATTATGTTTCCCCATTGTTTCTTCTTGGCACCTTTATTAAAAATCCATTGACTGTAAATATTTCTGCATGTGGAAATACAGTTTTTCTAAGACCATTCATTGAAAATATTATGTTTCCCCATTGTTTCTTCTTGGCACCTTTATTAAAAATCCATTGACTGTAAATGTGTAGTTATATTTCTCTGCTTGCTGTTGTGTTCCATTGGTCTATGTATCTGTTTTTATGCCAGTGCCATGTTGTTTTGATTACTGTGGCTTTGTGGTATAGTCTTAAGTCAGATAGTACAGTACAATACGTCAAGCTTTGTTCTTTTTGCTCAACATTACTTTGATTATTAGGAGTCTTTTCTGGTTTCATATAAATTTTAGGATTTATTTCTATTTCTGTGAAAAATGTTATTGGAATTGTGATAGAAATTGCATTGACTCTGTAGGTCACTTTGGATAGTATGAATGTTTTAACAATATTCTTCAATTCCATGAATGTGGGATATCTTTTCATTTATTTATGTATTCATCAATTTATTTCACCAGTATTTTAGAGTTTTCAGTATACATGTCTGTCACCTCCTTGGGTAAATTTATTTCTATGTATTTTATTCTTGGTAGCTACCACAAATAGGATTTTTTTCTTTTTCCTTTTTTTTGGATTGATCATTCCTAATGTATAGAAATGCTACTGATTCTTTGTATGTTGATTTTTCTATTCTGCAACTTTACTGAATTTATTCTAATTAATTAGTTTTTAAGGGAATTCTTAGGGTTCTCTATATATAAGATCATCTCACTGGCAAACAGATCCAATTTACCTTCTTTTTTTCCAATTTGAATGCTTTTATTTCTTTCTCTTGTCTAATTTCTCTGGCTAGAAGTTCAATAGTATGTTGAAAAGAGATGATGAGAGGCATCCTTTTCTTGTTCCTGATCTTAAAGGAAAAGCTTTCAACTTTTCACCAATGAGTATAATGTTTGCAATGGGCTTGTCAAATGTGGTCTTTATTGTGTTGATGTGCATTCCTTCTAAACTTGTTAAAAGTTTTTTGTTAAAAGTTACCATGAAAGGGTGTTGAATTTTTTCAAATGCTTTTGCTGCATCTATTATATTTTATAGATTATATTTTTTGACCTTCATTCTGTTCTGTTAATGTGATGTACAATATTTTTTTCTTTTTTATTATACTTTATTATAAAGTATATTATTTCTTTATTATACCTTTTTTCTTTTTTTATATACCTTAAGTTCTGGGGTACATGTGCAGAATGTTCAGTTTTGTTACACATGTATACATGTGCCACAGTGCTTTGCTGCAACCATCAACCCATCATCTACATTAGGTATTTCTCCTAATGCTATCCCTCCCCTTGCCTGCCATCCCCTGACAGGCCTCAGTGTGAGATGTTCCCCTCCTTGTGCACATGTGTTCTCATTGTTCAACTCCCACTTATGAGTGAGAACAAGTGGTGTTTCATTTTCTATTCCTGTGTTAGCTTGCTGAGAATGATGGTTTCCAGCTCCATCCATGTTCCTGTAAAAAACATGAACTTATTCTTTTTTATGGCTGCTTAGTATTCCATGGTGTATATATGCCACGTTTTCTTTATCCAGTACATTGATGGGCATTTGGGTTGGTTCCACGTCTTTGCTATTGTGAATATTTCTACATTAAACATAAGTGTGCATGTGTCTTTATAGTAGCATGATTTATAATCCTTTGGATATATACCCAGTAATGTGATTGCTGGGTCAAATGGTATTTCTAGTTCTAGATCATTGAGGAATTGCCACACTGTCTTCCACAATGGTTGAACTAATTTACACTCCCAGCAACAATATAAAAGCATTCCTATTTCTCCACATCCTCTCCAGCATCTGTTGTTTCCTGACTTTTTAATGATCGCCATTCTAACCGACATGAGGTGGTATCTCATTGTGGTTTTGATTTGCATTTCTCTAATGACCAGTGATGATGAGCATTTTTTCATATGTTTGTTGGTTGCATAACTTTCTTGAAGTGTCTGTTCATATCCTTCACCTATTTTTTGATTGGGTTGTTTTTTTCTTGTAAATTTGTTTAAGTTCTTTGTAGATTCTGGATATTAGCCCTTTGTCGGATGGATGGATTGCAAAAATTTTCTCCCTTCTGTAGGTTGCGTGTTCACTCTGATGATAGTTTCTTTGCTGTGCAGAAGCTCTTTAGTTTAATTAGATCCCATTTGTCTATTTTGGCTTTTGTTGTCATTGCTGCCATTGTTGCCATTTGGTGTTTTAGTCATGAAGTCTTTGCCCATGCCTATGTCCTAAAATGTATTGCCTAGGTTTTCTTCTAGGGTTTTTATGGTTTTAGGTGTTACATTGAAGTCTTTAATCCATCTTGAGTTAATTTTTGCATAAGGCATAAGGAAGGGATTCAGTTTTGGCTTTCTGCATACTGGTAGCCAGTTTTCCCAACACCATTTATTAAGTAGGGAATCCTTTCCCCATTGCTTGTTTTTGTCAGGTTTGTCAAAGACCAGATGGTTGTAGATGTGTGGTGTTATTTCTGAGGCCTCTATTCTGTTCCATAGGTCTGTATATCTCTTTTTGTTCAAGTACCATGCTGTTTTGGTTACTGTAGCATTGTAGTATAGTTTGAAGTCAGGTAGCATGATGTCTCCAGCTTTGTTCTTTTTGCTTAGGATTGTCTTGGCTATGTGGGCTCTTTTTTAGTTCCGTATGAAATTTAAAGTAGTTTTTTCTAGTTCTATTTAGAAAGTCAATGGTAGCTTGATGGGGATAGCATTGAATCTATAAATTACTTTGGACACCATGGCCATTTTCATGATATTGATTCTTCTTATCCATGAGCATGTAATGTTTTTCCATTTGTTTGTGTCCTCTTATTTCCTTGAGCAGTGGTTGGTAGTTCTCCTGGATGAGGTCCTTCACATCCCTTGTAAGTTGTACTCCTAGGTATTTTATTCTCTTTGTAGCAATTGTGAATGGGAGTTCACTCATGATTTGGCCTTCTGTTTATCTATTATTGGCATATAGGAATGCTTGTGATTTTTTGCACCTTGATTTTGTATCCTGAGACTTTGCTGAAGTTGCTTATCAGCTTAAGATTTTGGGCTGAGACGATGGGGTTTTCTAAATATACAATCAGGTCATCTGCAAACAGAGACAATTTTACTTCCTCTTTTCCAAATTGAATACCCTTTATTTCTTTATCTTGCCTCATTGCCCCGGCCAGAACTTCCAATACTATGTTGAATAGGAGTGGTGAGAGAGGGCATCCTTGTCTTGTGCCAGTTTTCAAAGGGAATGCTTCCAGTTTTTGCCCATTCAGTATGATATCGGCTGTGGGTTGGTCCTAAATGTCTCTTATTATTTTGAAGTATGTTCCATCGATACCTAGTTAATTGAGAGTTTCTAGCATGAATTGGTGTTGAATTTTATTGAAGGCCTTTTCTGCATCTATTGAGATAATCATGTGGTTTTTGTAGTTGGTTCTGTTTATGTGATGGATTATGTTTATTGATTTGTGTATGTTGAACCAGACTTGCACCCCAGGGATGAAGCCGACTTGATTGTGGTGGATAAGCTTTTTGATGTGCTGCTGCATTCAGTTTGCCAGTATTTTCTTGAGGATTTTCACATCGATATTCATCACTGATATTGGCATACAATTTTCTTGTTTTGTTGTATCTCTGCCAGGTTTTGTTATCGGATGATGCTGGCCTCATAAAATGAGTTAGGGAGGATTCTGTCTTTTTCTATTGTTTGGAATAGTTTCAGAAGGAATGGTACCAGCTCCTCGTTGTGCCTCCGGTAGAATTCAGCTATGAATCCGTCTGGTCCTGGACTTTTTTTTGGTTGGTAGGCTATTAATTGCTGCCTCAATTTCAGAACTAGTTATTGGTTTATTCAGGGATTTGACTTCTTCCTGGTATATTCTTGGGAGGGTGTATGTGTCCAGGAATTTACCCATTTTTTCTACATTTTCTAGTTTATTTGTGTAGAGGTTTTTATGTATTCTCTGATGGTACCTTGTATTTTTGTGGGATCAGTGGTGATATCCCCTTTATCTTTTTTTTATTGCATCTATTTGATTCTTCTCTCTTTTCTTCTTAGTCTGGCTAGCAGTCTATCTATTTTGCTGATCTTTTCAAAAAACCAGCTCCTAGTTCACTGATTTTTTTGAAGGGGTTTTTGTGTCTCTATCTCCTTCAATTCTGCTCTGATCTTAGCTATTTCTTGTCTTCTGCTAGCTTTTGAATTTGTTTGCTCTTGCTTCTCTAGTTCTTTCCATTTTAATGCTAGGCTGTCAATTTTAGATCTTTGCTGCTTTCTTTTGTGGGCATTCAGTGCCATAAATTTCCCTTTGCACACTGCTTTCGCTGTATCCCAGAGATTCTGGTATGTTGTGTCTTTGTTCTCATTGGTTTTGAAAAACATCTTTATTTATGCCTTAATTTTGTTATTTATCCAATAGCCATTCAGGAGCAGGTTGTTGTTTCCATGTAGTTTTGTGGTTTTGAGTGAGTTTCTTAATCCTGGGTTCTAATTTAATTGGACTGTGGTCTGAGAGACTGTTTGTTATGATTTCCGTTCTTTTGCATTTGCTGAGGAGTGTTTTACTTCCAATTATGTAGTCAATTTTAGAATAAGTGCAATGTGATGTTGAGAAGAATGTATATTCTGTTGAGTTGGGGTGGAGAGTTCTATAGATGTCTGTTAGGTCCAGTTGGTCCAGAGCTAAGTTCAAGTCCTGGATATCCTTATTAATTTTCTGTCTCATTGATCTGTCTAATAGTGACAGTGGGATGTTAAAGTCTCCCACTATTATTGTGTAGGAGTCTAAGTCTTTTTGTAGATCTCTAAGAACTTGCTTTATGAATCTGGGTGCTCCTGTATTTGGTGCATATATATTTAGGATAGTTAGCTCTTCTTGTTGCATTGATCACTCTACCATTAGGTAATGCCCTTCTTGGGCTTTTTTTTTTTTTTTTATCTTTGTTGGTTTAAAGTCTGTTTTATCAGAGACTAGGATTGCAACCCCTGCTTTTGTTTTGTTTTGTTTTGTTTTGTTTGCTTTCCATTTACTTGGTAAATATTCCTCCATCCCTTTATCTTGAGCCTATGTGTGTCTTTGCATATGAGATGGGTCTCCTGAATACAGCACACCGAGGAGTCTTGACTGTTTATCCAATTTACCAGTCTGTGTCTTTTAATTGGGGCATGTAGCCCCTTTACATTTCAGATTAATACTGTTATGTGTGAATATGATCCTGTCATCATGATGCTAGCTGGTTATTTTGCCCATTAGTTGATGCAGTTTCTTCATGGTGTTGATGGTCTTTACAATTTGGTATGTTTTTGCAGTGGCTGGTACCAGCTGTTCCTTTCCATGTTTAGTGCATCCTTCAGGAGCTCCTGTAAGGCAGTCCTGGTGGTGACAAAATCTCTCAGCATTTGCTTGTCTGTTAAAGATTTTATTTCTTCTTGGCTTATGAAGATTAGTTTGGCTAGGTTGAAAATCTGGGTTGAAAATTCTTTTCTTTAAGAATGTTGAATATTGCCCCCACTCTCTTCTTGATTGTAGGGTTGCTGCCAAGAGATCCACTGTTAGTCTAACGGGCTTCCCTTTGTGGGTAACCTGACCTTTCTCTCTGGCTGCCCTTACCATTTTTTCCTTCATTTCAACCTTGGTGAATCTGACAATTATGAGTCTTGGGGTTGCTTTTCTCAAGGAGTATCTTTGTGGTGTTCTCTGTATTTCCTGAATTTGAATGTTGGCCTGCCTTACTAGGTTGGGGAAGCCCTTCTCCTGGATAATATCCTGAAGTGTGTTTTCCAACTTGGTTCCATTCTCCCCATCACTTTCAGGAACACCAATCAAACATAGATTTGGTCTTTTCACATAGACCTTATTTCTTGGAGGCTCTGTTCATTTCTTTTCACTCTTTTTTTCTCTAATCCTGTCTTCTCATTTTATTTCATTGAGTTGATCTTCACTCTCTTATATCCTTTCTTCCACTTGATCAATTCACCTGTTGATACTTGTGTATGCTTCACGAAGTTCTCATGCTGTGTTTTTCAGCTCCATCAGGTCATTTATGTTCTTCTCTAAACTGGTTATTCTAGTTAGCAATTCCTCTAACCTTTTTTTCAAGGTGCTTAGCTTCCTTGCTTCGGGTTAGAACATGCTCCTTTAGCTCGGAGGAGGTTGTTATTACCCACCTTCTGAAGCCTACTTCTGGCAATTTGTCAAACTCATTCTCCATCCAGTTTTGTTCCCTTGCTGGCAAGTTGTGATCCTTTGGAGGAGAAAAGGCATTCTGGTTTTTGGAATTTTCAGCTTTTTTGCACTGGTTTCTCCCCATCTTCATGGATTTACCTATCTTTGGTCTTTGATATTGGTGACCTTTGGATGGGGTCTCTGAGTGGACATCCTTTTTGTTGATGTTGATGTTACTATTCCCTTCTGTTAGTTTTCCTTCTAACAGTCAGGCTCCTCTGCTGCAGGTCTGCTGGAGTTTGCTGGGGGTCCATTTCAGACCCTGTTTGCCTACGTATCACCAGCAGAGCCTGAAGAACAGCAAAGATTGCTGCCTGTTCCTTCCTCTGGAAGCTTCATCCCAGAGGGGCACCTGCTAGATGCCAGCCAGAATTCTCCTGTATATGGGGTCTTTTGGTCCCTACTAGGAGGTGTCTCCCAGTCAGGATACACAGAGGTCAGGGACTCACTTGAGGAGGCAGTCTGTTCCTTATCAGAGCTTGAACGCTGTGCTAGGAGATCCACTGCTCTCTTCAGAGCTATCAGGCAGGGATGTTTAAGTCTGCTGAAGCTGTGCCCACAGCCGCTCCTTCCCCCATGTGCTCTGTCCCAGGGAGATGGGGGTTTTATCTATAAGTCCCTGACTGGGGCTGCTGCCTTTTTTTCAGAGATGCCCTGCCTAGAGAGGAGGAATCTAGAGAGGCAGTTGGTCTTGCTGAGCTGCAGTGGTCTCTACCCAGTTCAAACTTCCCAGCAGCTTTGTTTACACTGTGAGGGTAAAACAGCCTACTCAAGCTTCAGCATTGGCAGGTGCCCCTCCCCCCACCAAGCTTGAGCATCCCAGTTCCACATCAGACTGCTATGCTAGCAGCAAGAATTTCAAGCCAGTGGATCTTAGCTTGCTAGGCTCTGTGAGGGTGGTACCCACCAAGCCAGGCACCAGAGGGAATCTCCTGGTCTGCTAGTTGCGAAGACCATGGGAAAAGCACAGTATCTGGGCCAGATTGTACCATTCCTCCTGATACAGTCTCTCACAAGTTCCCTTGACTAGGGAAGGGAAATCCCCCAACACCTTGAGCTTCCCGGGTGAGGCCACAGCCCACCCTGCTTCAGCTTGCCCTCCATGGGCTGCACCCACTGTCCCACCAGTCCCAGTGAGATGAACTGGGTACCTCAGTTGGAAATGCAGAAATCACTCACCTTCTGCATCAATCTCGCTGGGAGCTGCAGACCAGAACTGTTCCTATTTGGCCATCTTGCCAGCTCTCCTGATGTACCATATTTATTATTTGCATGTGTTGAACCATCCTTATATTCCTAGTTTAAATCTCACTTGCTCAAGGTGAATGAACCTTTTAATGTGCTGTTGAATATGATTTGCTAGTATTTTGTTAAGAATGTTCACATTCATGTTCATCGGAGATATTGACCTGTAATTTTATTGTTTGTAGTATCCTTGTCCAGCCTTAGTATCAGGGTGATGCTAGCCTTGTAAAAAGTTTGGAAATATTTCCTCTTCTTCAATATTTTGGAAGAGTTTGAGAAGGATTGGAATTAGGTTTTCTTCAAGTGATTGTCAGAATTCAGTTAGGAATCCATCAAGGTATGGGCTTTTCATTGAGGGAACACTTTCTATTACTGATTCAGTCTTACTTGTTATTGATCTGTTCAGTTTTTCTATTTCATGGTAGGTTGAATGTGTGTAAGAATTTATTCATTCCTTTTAGGCTATCTAATCTGTTGAGATATAATTATACAGAGTAGTCTTTTATAATTTTTTGTATTTCTGTGATATCAGTTGTGATCTCTCCCTCTTACTCATTTTGAGTCCTCAGGTTTTTTTTTCTTAATCTTGCTAAAGATTTGTCAACTTTGCTTCTGTTTTTAACCCTTTGCTCAATTAGGAAAAAAAAGTACCACTTGCTACCAGCACTCATTTAATTTTACATAAGTACCCTCTTTGAGGCTGAAGTAAATCTGACTAATTTTCAATGTGAAAATGAAATACAAAAACTTTTCTTGGAGTTATTTCTAAACAGAACTAACATCAGAATCTTCTGAATCATCAGAATCATCTATTTTAGAAAAATCTGATTCATCAAATAAAAACTGAAAATGACACTAACATCATGTGTAGTAATGCTATGTTTTCTAGGATTAGACATTTTCAGCAATTGAGCATTACCATATTTTGTAAATGGAAAATCACTGCTAAAATAGGATGATGTCTTTTGTTTCCAAAGTTGATATACTACAGTAATGCAAAAATAACAAAGCAAGATATGTCATGGCAGTTATTTCTGGATAAACTCTGCAGCTGCAAGCACCGCTGGCAAATTTTCTTGAGGCAGATGGGGAAAGGATTAAGAAATTAGCTTTTATGTTCATTGATCTTTTCTATTGTTTTTCTAGTCTCTATTTTATTTATTTCTGCTCTGATCATTATTTCCTTCCTTTGACTAATTTTGGAGCTTAGTTTGTTCTCCTTTTTCTAGTTCCTTGAGGTGTAGTGTAGTTTTTTGGAGATTTTTCTTCTTTTTTGATGTAGGCATTCATTGCGATAGACTTCCCTTTCAGAACTGCTTTTGCTGTATTTCAGAAGCTTTTATATATTGTTCATTTATTTTCACTTATCTCGATGTTTTTTTAATTTCCCTTTCAATTTCTTCTTTGACCCATTGGTTATTCAGGAGCATATTGATTAATTTTTGAATTTTCCAAAACTTCTGTTACTTATTTCTAGTTTTATACCAGTGTGGTCAGAAAAGATGCTTGATACAATTTCAATCTTTAAATTTATTAAGACTTATTTTGTGGCCTACCATATGATCTATCTGATCTATCCTGGAGAATGTGCCATGCCAATTAAGAAGAATGTGTATTCTGCAGCTGTTGGATGCAGTGTTCTGTATATGTCTTTTAGGTCCATTTGGTCTATAGGGTCATTTACTTTCAATGTTTCTATATTAATTTCTTGTGGCTGGATAATCTATTCATTGCTGAAAGTGGGTTGTTGATGTCTGTTACTATTTTATAAAAATCTCTCTCTCCCTTCAGATCTATTAATATTTGCTTTATATATTTAGGTGTTCTGATGTTGGCTGTATATATATTTATAATTGTTATATGCTCTTCCTGAATTGACCCCTTTATCATTATATAATAACCTCCTTTGTTTCATTTTACAGCTTTTAACCCTCTGTTTTATCTGATATGTGTATAACTACTGCTCTCTTTTGGTTTCTATTTGCATAGAATATCTTTTTCTATCCCTTTGCTTCAGTCTATGTGTGCATTTAAGGTTGAACTGATTCTCTTGTAAGTAGCATATAGTTGGGTCCTTTTTTTAATCTACTAAGTCACCCTGTGTCTTTTGATTTGATATGCCAGGTAATTACTGGCAGGTAAGGACTTACTTTTCTCGTGTTCTTTAAACTGGAAGAAAAGAATGCTAATTAGTCACTTTAACATTTCTTAAGACTGGTCTGGGGTGATGAACTCCCTCAGCTTTTGTCTGTCTGAGAAAGGCTTTTATCCTTCATTTCTGAAGGACAGCTTTGCTGGGTGCAGTATTCTTGGTTGACAGGTTTTTTTTTTCTTTTTTTTCTTAAGCACTCAGAATATATCATCTTCCTCTATCCTGGCTTGTAAGGCTTCTGTTGAGAAGTCTGTTTGTTGCTAGCTTTATTGAACCTCCTTTATATGTGACTTGCTTGTTTTCTCTTGCTGCTTTCAGGATCCTCTCTTTTGTCTTTGATATTTTACAATTCAATTTTAATATATCTTGGTGTGGTCTTGGAATTGGATTAAATCTGATTGGACTTTTTTTTTTTTTTTTTTTGAGATAGAGTCTCTCTCTGTCACCCAGGCTGGAGTGCGATGGTGTGATCTCGGCTCAACTGCAAGCTCCACCTCCCAGGTTCATGCCATTCTCCTGCCTCAGCCTCCTGAGTAGCTGGAACTACAGGCACCCACCACCACGCCCAGCTAATTTTTTGTATTTTTAGTAGAGACGGGGTTTCACCATGTTAGCCAGGATGGTCTTGATCTCCTGACCTCGTGATCCACCCACATTGGCCTCCCAAAGTGCTGGGATTACAGGTGTGAGCCACTGCGCCCGGCCTGATTGGACATTTTTGACCTTCCTGTTCCTAGATATTTGTATCTCCAAGTTTGAAATGTGTTCTGCTATTATTTCTTTAAATAAGTTTTCTAACCCTTTGTTTCTCTCTTCTTCTTTAATTCCTGTAGCTCAAATATTTGTTCCTTTGATGCTGGTTTATAAATCTTGTAAGGCTTTTTTATTCCTTCTTATTCTTTTTCTTTTAGGTTTAGGTTTTAAACACAATATATCTATGCACCAAAATCACATCCTTTTCAACTATTTAAACTTATGTTGAAAAATTTTTAGATGTTTGCATGAAAACTTGAAGAGGTATGTGTTTGTTCAAAATTTCTTTGATGCCTGGGCAACACGGTAAAGCCTCATCTCTACAAAAAAAAAAAAAAAAAAAAAGCCAGACATGGTGGTGCACACCTATAATTGCAGTTATTCAAGAGGCTAAGGTAGGAGGGTCACTGGAGCAGGATGTAGAGGTTGCAGGAAGCCAAAATTGCACCACTGCGTACCAGCCTGGGTGACAGAGCAAGACCCTGTCTCAAAAAATAAAATTTTTTTTGCATTATCTTAGCAAAAATATTTGAAGACCACTATATTTATTTCCTTTTGCTACTCTAACAAGTTGCCACAAACGTAGTGACTTGAAACAATACATTTATTATCTTACAGGTCTATAGGTGAGAAATTTGTCATGGATCTCACTGGGTTTAAAGCAAGGTGTTGGCAAGTCTGAATCTCCTCATTGGGGATCTGGGACAGAATCTGTGTTCTTGCCTTTCCAACTTCAGAGCTACCCACATTTCTTGACTCATGACCCCATTTCTCCATCTTCACAGCCAGTAACATGAGGCCAAGGCCTTCTCATATTGCCGTCTCTGTGGTTTTGTCTCATGTGTCTCCCTCTTCCACTTATAAGGATCAGTCTCCCCTTTTCAAAGTCACGTGATTAGCAGCCTTAATTCTATCTACAACTTTAATTCCCTTTTGCTATAACATAACCTAACACATTCACATGATCAGGGATTATAATGTGGACATTTTTAGGGGGCGGTTTTTTTTTTTCCTACTACAACCACTGGAATTTGGTAGAGGCATAGAGGATATTGAAGGTTTGATATTGCCTGTTGAGAAATGAAAGGGGGGACAGATGGAAGACAAGCAAAAGAATTATCAAAAGAAATGCCAAATATGCCCAGGCGCAGTGGCTCATGCCTGTAATCTCAGCTCTTTGGGTGGCCAAGGAGACAGATAACCTGAGGTCAGGAGTTCAAGACCAGCCTGGCCAACATGATGAAAACCCCATCTCCACTACAAATACAAAAATTAGCCAGACATGGTGGCACACGCTGTAATCCTATCTACTTGGGAGGCTGAAGCATGAGAATCACTTGAACCCGGGAGGAGGAGGCTGCAGTGAGCTGAGATCGCACCACTGCACTCTAGCCTGGGTGACAGAGCAAGACACCATCTAAAAAAAAAAAAAAGAAAAGAAAGAAATGTCAAATGTAAGTAGCATTACATTCACAGCTTTTCATCTGTACACTTGAGTTTTTCATTCTTGCCTTTCTTCCTAAAACCCATTCACCTGATGCTCAAATCAAATAATCAGATTGTTGAACTCTTAGTGCCTTTTTTAATGTCTTTAGAAGTGTTCTTAAGCTCTGTTTGCATTTTTGCCTATCTCTGAAATTTTAAGATATTTTTTAACCATTCTCATATATGTTCTCTTATAGGGCTATAATTAAACTTTTAAAGAATATTTTAATATTCAAAGGACATTTCTAATTTCTATTAAGCATTTATCAATTGTGTAATCTTGTGTAAATTATGGGACTATTTTATGTTCTTAAAGTTGAGTTTTTTCTGTTTTCCTTTTGAACTCTTTAAACACGTCTTAGCCAATTTGTCTGAAGATATTAGCTGTACGTAATTATAATGAATTATTATAAATCCTGTAACATTTTATCTTGTCACAAATGTAAACTTAGTTGTGACACTAATTTTGGACACTGGAAGGCACACTCTGGAAATGTGTTCAATTGCCTTTAATGCTGGACCCTGATGAGGACCAAGGAAGACAATCAAGGATCTCAGTGTGTATTAAGTGTACCCTCTGTGTGGAGGAGTGCTGTGATGATCTCTCTATGTCAGAGACCAAAGGGCAAGCTTTCACTGGAGGTCCTTTATGTTATGCTAATAAATGAGTGTAGGGAGTGTTTATAAGAGAGGAGAGGGAACTTGTCACTGCCATGAATAAAACTGATAAACACCCCAAGCTCATGTACCACCCCACTCCCACAAAAACAGTGTTTGGCCTAGTTTTTATTTCCATTTTAACCAAAAGAAAAACCATCAAACATCTCTAGTGAAAACTTTTAGGCTTTTTCCTACTGGATTCCATCACTTAAAAGAATCACAAAATTTTTTCCTTAAAACATTGTTAGGTATCTTCTAGTTCAACATCTCCCTCCACTCCCAATCTTATTTCATACCTCATTTACCCATTTGTTGGCATAAATACCCCTATTCAAAATTTCTATACATATACAAATGCATACATGAATATCCAATGTGAAAGTTACACAGGATGCTTATTATAGATTGTTGGATTTCCTTTGTACTTTGCCTCCTTAAACCTTTAATGTAATGACCTTTCCTGAATAAGCATTAGGAAATACACATATATACACACACGCACACACACACACACACACACACACATATTAAATCCTTGTTCCTGATATACCCAGATGCTAAGGGAGCAAGGAGTAGTGAGATGGAGAAGAGGCAAAACCAAACTAGAGAAAGCATATGTAAGAACCCAGGGGTAGACAGAAGAGTAGGGACAAAGGAAAGACTCAGATTCCTTTGGTCTAAGTAGGTCAGAGCAGCTAACCAAAAGGAGAAGAGGAAGAGGTGTCAGCCTGCTGTGACAGAGCCACAGTTTAGAAAAAAATACCATGGTCAAGTTTCCATATCCACTTGTTCCCATTTGGAGTAAGAGAGTCTTAGCTTGTTGGTCTCTGCCTGCCCCCCTGTGGTTGCTGAGTGGCTGAGAAAGTACCACAGCAGAGGCAGGGCTGGACATAAAGAGCAATGGCCTGCCACTGGAGTGTGGGGGCACTCAGGTGCAAATTTCAGTTATGATAATAGCTTATTGTGTTTCCTTGAGCATCGCTCAATTTTTTTAGCTTCAGTCTCTTTTTCTAGTAAACTAAGGTGAGACTGGTGACCTCTATGAGGCCCTTCCACCTGTAGCACCCTGTGACAACATGGGTTGAGCATCTCCTGATCAGAGCCTTGCCTTAACGTAGCCTGCCTTGCATGAGATTCAGTGAGACAAGACATGAATCCACTGGGACCCTGTCTGTGTGTGGCAGGACTACACGAGAGCCCAGCATCTCCACTAATCTCATCACCTAAGACAAAAATATGCTCAAGCTCAGTTTTAGAAGGTACATCTCCCATAAGGCTTTAGAATGCCGCTTTACAGTATGCCTATAAAAGGAAAACCTGAGATATAGTCCACTCATTCAGAAATACAAATGCCAGTCTCTAGGATTAAAGAGGTGGGGGTAAGACAGTGAAAAGCGCTGGGCACAGTGGTTCACACCTATAATCCCAGCACACTGGGAGGCCCAGGCAGGAGGATCACTTGAGCCCAGGAGTTTGAATCCAGCCTGGGCAAAAGCTCATCTCTATAAAAAATACAAAAATTGACCAAGCCTGGTGGCATGTGCCTATAGTCCCAACTACTCAGGAGGTTGAGGTGGGAGGACTGCTTGAGACTGGGAGGTTGAGGCTACAGTAAGCTGTAATCATGCCACTATACTACAGCCTGCATGGCAAAGCGAGAATGTGTCTCAAAAAAAAAAAAAAGTGAGAAGTATACTTCTTACCCTCACAAAAGCAGAGGTAACTTTAACTCTGTGGTTGGTAGAGAGGGGATGTACTCAGGGCTGGGGAGACCAGAGAGAGAAAGGTTCCAAGGAAGGGTGCACAGCCTTTGAGCAGGATGCAGAAGGATGAGTGTCCACAAGGTGGCTTTGGGCAGACAGCGTTTTCAGGTGAAGGGAACAGTTTGGGTAAAGGCAGACCAAAGGGCCCTGCTGTATAAAGAAGTGCTAAAAAAATTTCCTGAAGCTGGAATTTAAAGCATAGGATTACAGTGGCCAGGAATAAAAGGAATGAGTCAGCTTGAGGCCAAATTGTAACTGGCCTTATATTCCTGCCAGAGGAATTTGGAATGAGTCTTGTGGGCAACATCTGGGAATTGAGAGGTTTTCAAGCAAGAGAGAGAGAGAAATTCCGATTTTGTTCCCAGGAGAAAAATATTCTGGCAGTAGCACAGCGGATGGAAGAGCCTGAGAAAGGCTGGCAGTAGGGAAACCGGAGAAGAGGCTCCTGCAGAGCAGAAAACCATTTGGAGGTAGAGGTGGGAGGCTGAATTATATTTATACATCCGTTGTACTACTTCCTTCTAATTTGATCAGCAGTAGATACAGAAGTACAGAAAGACTTTCCAGGAGTCCCAGTGAGAATAATCTGACTCTCCAGGCCAACAGTGACAATCTTCAAACAGCCTGATTTATGACTGACATTCATCATATGCTACTGTTCCTGTTACAACCCACATCCATAATGAAATCTCCCAGAATGGGGCTGGATGTCCATCTTGCCATCATCATCCTCTTCCCTCTCCTGCTGGCCTTGTCCGCATTCTGGATGTCTGGGTGCTGATATCCTGTTTTGTTGGAGATGCAGCAGAAATCATTTCCAGTCTGTTTTTGTTTTTATGTGGAACAACTAAGCTAATTAATCTTAGAGAATCACATATGTATACAAAAAGCTCAGGTCTGGGGCAGCAATAAAAACTTAAGATTTCCAGTTTCTTCTGACTAGATTCCAGTTCTTATTCATAACAATAACAATAATTCAATAGCCCACTGGTGAGAGACTGCTATGACCCTGAGAGAATAGCTTTGAAATACCAAGAATAATGGCATTTAGATTTCTATAGCATCCAGGCCCTCCCAGCACCCCTTGCGGCAGGATCTTGCAATGTTCTACAGAAGTACAATGCATTAAGGCTCTCCTCATAAAGTAGGCAGCATTATTATTCTCATTCCTCATGCTGCCAAAACAAAGTGGAGAGATGTGCTTCTGTTGCCTGCCCAAGGTTAATTCCAGTGGCGAAACTACAAATTCAACTCAGTTATTTGCCTTCAACTATGATCAAGCAGCTTTGTATTTTCAAGAAAAGCTGATGTAACTTACCCAAAACCAGAGTAAATTACATTTCAGAAGGAGAATGAGCATGTGGGCCACTGCCACCTCTCACACATTCCCGCATCTTCTCCACTGAGCCCCAGTTGACTTTCCCAGGAAGGACGTGACACAATTTTTACCTAAGTAGATTAACATAACACATTACACATCAGCACTACAAATGCTAACCAAAACAGTCAAACTCGTAAATAAAGCATACCTACCCCTGAGAAAAACTCGTAAATAAAGCATACCTACAAGATAAGGAAGGAGAGGACTTCTGAAGAATGAACATCAGAGAGATAAAAAGAAACAATTGAAAATGAAGTTAAAAACATTGCGTGTCTGTATATGTGTATGTGTGTATAAAAAACATATTTACATATAGTGTATAGGTAAAACAATGAGATTCAAGATATAAACTACAATAGCTTAAGTATCAGTCAGCCCAGTGAAAATCTAACATGAAATTCAATAGTTCACCTCATGATAGTAAATATAAAAAAGTTAATACCATAGAAGTGGACTTTCTATGAGGAGAAAAAAAGCATGTCTATATATTTAAAAGTTATTTTAATTCTGTAATTATGATGAAATCTGTGCTTTAAATGTATGTCTAAAATAAAAGATGGTATGTTGAAAAATTATAGGGAGCTCAGATAATAAATTTTGGAGAGAAAAGCTAATTTCTTCAAATTAGGCAAACACCTTACACTTACAAATGGAAACTTAAGAAATGGTAAAATATATTTTAGAAACAACAGTCTGTACATAAAATTTACCTACTAAGAGAGGTACAATATGATTTTACTGAACCATATATGCTATAGTTAAAAAAGAAAGATGGTTTACAATTTAAAGAGCTAAGCTGAAAAGTTTGGTTTGTTTGTTTAACCAGAGGATAAAATATTAAGATGAAAAAAGATATGTGACTTATACAGATGAATAGGAATTTGATGAAGTGTAACTAAAATTGTGATATATAAATATATTTTTGGTCCTTACAAAATGGTTTTACAGACTAATAGAATTTTAGTAAAGAGAAAATTTAACTTCTTAAGTATGTGTATTTATAACATCTATAACAATAAAATTGTTTTCATTTACAATGTGTAGAATGGCCTTAGCAGTCAAAAGTTTGCCTAAATAATGTCTTGTAGAAAACATCCTAGAAAATAAATGGTTAAATTTGATTATTTTCTAGTCTATTGTATTCGAACTTAATTATTCTCATGAGTTTATTTTCTAAGGTGGTGTTAGTGAATGTAACTTGCATGATAATTAGCATCTTACGTGGCATTTTGTCATGTTTAGTCCATATTCATTGAATGGATGAATGAATGAATTCCACCCAAACAAAGTTGGAGCTCTTCATTTCTCATGTCTTAGCCTCACTCAGTTGACTGAGAACACAGACAGCCTGGGAGAACGCTGTTCAGTCACTCCTCCCAGACAACAGGCAAGACCACCTGCAAGTTGCGCAGCCTGACAATGTATTTGGTAAACCTGGGATTAATAACCATTTGTTCCCCTCCTTCCTCTGCCTCCCAATACCACTCAAAGAATCCAAGGACATAAAGCCTATGATTTCCATTGCTTTTTGCAGATCAATAGGAAAATTTGCCCTGCAGTCTCCAAAATTATACCAGTGGCCTAACTTGAAAATCTGTTTGAATGTTTACTATTCCTAAACTCCAGTTTGTCATAGGTTTTTGTCAAGTTCACTGTTAGGTTGAATTCCCCAAAAGTGGATCCTAAGACTAAGGTTGTTTATTTTGGTTTTTTGCTGTTGTTGTTGTTTTTGAGACAGAGTATCACTCTGTCTCCTAGGCTGGAGTGCAGTGGCATGATCTTGGCTCACTGCAACCTCCGCCTCCCAGGTTCAAGGGATTCTCCTGCCTCAGCCTCCCAAGTAGCTGGGATTACAGGTGCATGCCACCACACCCGGCTAATTTGTGTACTTTTAGTAGAGATGGCCACTATGTTGGCCAGGCTGGTCTCAAACTCCTGACCTCAAGTGATCAGCCCACTTTGTAATCCCAAAGTGCTGGGATTACAAGCATGAGCCATGCACCTTGCCCTAAGACTAGGATTTGAGAGCCATTTGTTTGGGGGGTGATCTCAAGAAACACCTAGTGAGAGAGGGATGGAGTGAAACAGGAAAGGGAAAGAAGCCATGTTGTGTGTTGGTAAGCAAATTACTGCTGGAGGCAACTGGAACTCAATCCTGCCAGGAGGATCTGGGAGATGGTCAAGAACCAGCTACAGTGTGGTCCTACTCAAAAAGAGAGGAAGTTTGGATAACTGTCTACCAACTTACGTTTGTCATTTGTGAGGATGCCTCCTGGGGTGTTCATTCACGTGGCACTTTCAACCTGCTGTGCAAATGCCCAGACTTCCTCCTGAGGCCAGAAAAACCCCTTAGGAGAGTCCCAAGTACTTGCAGCAAGTGTCCACCACAAGGTCTTATGTGGCATGGCAAATTGAATCTGTCTGGATACTTGGGAAACCCAAAGTCCCTCCTTCCTTTGCTCTGCTGGATATCTTGCCCTCACCTGTCCAGCTCCATTCTCCACCCCGGTGACTCTTCCAGTCCTAGGAGCACTCAGCTGATATGAGTTCCAGGGTACAGAAGCATGCTTTGTGGTTTCCCTCCACTCTTCCTACAGTTTTGTAAACATTCCTTTTATTAAACTCTCACATTAACCTTGAGAGAAAATTTCTTTATCCCTACTATGGCAGGCACCAAATCTCTCTAAAGAAACCCCTCCTTTAAGCTTCAACCCCTTGGCCAATTTAGGCACCTCCCTTTTCCTCCCTCACTGTGAAAGAACAGCTAAAGTTCAGGAAACTTATTTCTGCCCCTCTAACATTAGTCATCTTTTTGTACATTCCTTATAAGCTTCTCATTAGAAGTAGGAGAGATGGTGATAAAGCTTAGTGATTCAGAGCCAGCATATCTTGATGTACTTCCAGTCTGTGTGACTTGGAGAGAGTTACTCCTCAGCATTAAAAGTATGTAACAACACAGGCCAATTTTTTTGTTCTGAGGGTTCAATGAGAAAATGTATGTAAGGAATTTAACACAGAGCCTGGAACATAGTTAAGTGCCCATTCATTCATTCAGGAAATATGTATTAAGAATCTCCTAGGTACTGGCCGGGCATTCACACCTATAATCCCAGCACTTTGGGAGGCCAAGGTGGGTGGATCACAAGGGTCAGGAGTTCAAGACCAGCCTGGCCAAGATGGTGAAACCCTGTCTCTACTAAAAATACAAAAATTAGCCATGCCTGGTGGCAAGCACCTGTAATCCCAGCTACTCAGGAGGCTGAGGCAGAGAATTAATTGCTTGGACCCGGGAGGCAGAGTTTGCAGTGAGCTGAGATCACGCCACTGCACTCCAGCCTGGGCGACAGGGCAAGACTCCATCTCAAAAAAAAAAGAATCTCCTAGATTAAGCACTGTACTAGGTACTGGGCTTACAGTAGTGAACAGAGCAAAGTCTCTGTTCTGAGAGCCTAAAAATGAAATGATGGTGATAGCTGCTAGAATAAAGGATAAGGATATTCTAGGCAGGGATGCTGACTTACAGGGTGTTCAACATAGGCTTTTATGATGGAGTGAATTTGAGCAAAGACTTTAAGTGAGGGAGGAAGCTGTGTGGATTACCTGGGAGAAAGCCAGTTCCAGACAAAGGGAAGAGCAAGTGCAAAGGAGGGGTTTGCCTATTATGTTCCAAGAATGATAAAGAGGCCTATGTAACTACATCAGAATAAGCAAGGTAGATAAAAAGGAGATGAAGCCAGAGAGGTCATAGGTACCTAGACCCTGTAGATCATTGTAGAAACTTCCAATTTTATCCTGAGCAAGTCAGGATGCCATCAGAGGGTTTTGACCAGAGGAGTGGACATGATCAGACTTAAGTTTTGATGGGATCACTCTGGCTGCTCTGTTCAGAACAGATTGTAAGGGACAGGAGCAGGGAAACCAGCAGGGAGGCTTCTGCAATCATCCAGGTGGAGACAATAGTGGTTTGAGCTAGGGGCGTGGCTGTGGAGACAGTTTGAAGTAAGAAGGTTCTGAATCTATTTAGAAGGTGATAAAACTGTGTATTAGGGTTCCCTACGGGGACAGAACTAATAGGAGATACATATATATATATCTTGGATCAATACTTTGCATCAATACTATGCATCCTTCAATCCAATCAAGTTGACACTCAGTATTAACCATCACAAGTCCACCGCTTGTCAACTTGAACCCGTAGACATCTCTTGAGATCCTACATATATTTTTATATATATTTATATATATATTTATATATGTATTTATATATAAATACATATATAAATATAAATAAAAGATATGTATTTATATCTAGTATATAAATACATATATATTTATATCTAGTATATAAATACATATATATTTATATATAGTATATAAATACATATATATTTATATATAGTATATAAATATATATTTATATCTAGTATATAAATATATATTTATATCTAGTATATAAATACATATATATTTATATCTAGTATATAAATACATATATATTTATATCTTGTATATAAATACATATATATTTATATCTTGTATATAAATACATATATATTTATATCTTGTATATAAATACATATATATTTATATATGTATTTATATACAAGATATAAATATAAATATATAAATATATTTTATAAATACATAATATATAAATATATTTTATAAATACATAATATATAAATATATTTTATAAATATATAATATATAAATATATTTTATAAATATATAATATATAAATATATTTTATAAATATATAATATATAAATATATTTTATATAAAAAATTTATACATAAAAGTTATATAAATAAATATCATATATAAATAAATATATATATTTTATATATAAATAAATATATATATAATATAAATAAATATATATATAATATAAATAAATATATATATAATATAAATAAATATATATATTTATTTATAAATAAATATATATATTTATTTATAAATAAATATATATATTTATATATATAAATATATAATATAAATATATTTTATATATTTTTATACATATATAAAAATATATAAAATATATATTTTATATATATTTATATAAATATATATAAATATATATTTTATATATATTTTTATATAAATATATATAAAATATATATTTTATATATTTATATAAATATATATATATGAGTTTATTAAGTCTTAATAAATCACAAGGTCCCACAATAGGCCATCTGCAAGCTTGAGGAGCCAGGAGAGCCAGTCCTAGTCCCAAAACTGAAGAACTTGGAGTCCAATGTTTGAGGGCAGGAAGCGTCCAGCACAGGAGAAAGACGTAGGCTGGGGGGGGCTAGGCCAATCTCACCTTTTCACGTTTTTCTGCCTGCTTTATATTCATTGGTAGCTGATTAGATTGTGCCCACCAGATTAAGGGTGGATCTGCCTTCTCCAGCCCACTGACTAAAGTGTTAATCTCCTTTTGCAACATCCTCACAGACACACCTAGGATCAATACTTTGCATCCTTCAATCCAATCAAGTTGACACTAAGTATTAACCATCAAAAGTCCACCCCTTGTCAACTTGAACCCATACACATCTCCTGAGGTCATACACAATCTCAAAGAAAGACAATAATGAGGTCATAACTACACTAACATAATACAACCATCCTTCATACAACTGGAAATGCACCAACACCCAACCCAAATACTATTATATAAAGTTAACGATACTTAAATGCTGATAGGAAGTCAATAAATCTCATGTCACATGATAAAGGAAAAGGAAATGAAGATATTTTATTAGTACAAGTGTATAATGCACAAATATGTTATTAACTAAAGGAGAAAATACACATGACAGTTACCTTCCTTGTTTCTTCAGCTGGTCATGTGGTAGCTGCTGGTATTGATGACTACCTTCTTCTACTACCCATTCTGTATTCCCTTTGCCTTTAGAAAGCACCTCAGCAGGTAGCAGATTTTTTCCTCGTGGAGTGAACCAAATCTTCATTTCTGAGGAGTCTGGACCATTTGTAGTCCTGCCTGGCTTGGGCTGTTGTAGTTTCCCATTGGCCTTAATCACAGGGCATGGCAATACTATGAGACAGCCTAATGGATCTTCTGTATTCCATACATACTGCTCCTTACCTTCATTATGAAGTAGTATTCTGATTTCATCTTGATAGTCTGGGTCAGTCACCTCAGCAAACACTGTAACTCTCCTCTTAGCCTGTTGACTTAAAGGTAGGAGGAGCCCAAGGTGGCTATCTTAACTTCCATTTTAATGGAATTGTTGTGCCTCCTGGTGGCTGTGTTCCTTCCTCTGGAACTAAGACCTCTAGGCCAACAGAACATAATGTCGTGGGAACAGGAAGCAAAAATTTTGCTAGTGGATCACTAGGGGTGATGGTGAGTGGTGCCACTTCCACTTTCACCCCGTGATTCCCAGACCCATAAATCCTGGCTATGGGAGAAACAGTATCATATATTGGACTCTGATTCAGAGCATACACAGCCTTCTGGAGAACTTTGTCCCAGCCCTGCAAAGTATTGTCACCTAGTTGGCATTGTAATTGTGACTTCAAAAGGCCATTCCACCATTCTATTAATCCAGCTGCTTCAGAGTGATAGGGAACATGGTAGGACCAGTGAATTCCATGAGCATGAGCTCACTGCTTCACTTATTTAGCCATAAAGTGAGTACCTTGGTCAGAGACAATGCTGTGTGGAATACCATGATGGTAGATAAGGCATTCTGTGAGTCCATGGATGGTAGTCTTGCCAGAAGCACTGCAGGCAGGATAGGCAAACCCATATTCAGAGTAAGTGTCTATTCCAATGAGGACAAACCTCTGCCCTTTCCATGATGGAAGAGTTCCAATATAATCAACCTGCCACCAGGACACTGGCTGATCACCACGAGGAATGGTGTCATATTGAGGGCTCAGTGTAGCTCTCTGCTGCTAGCAAATTGGGCACTCAGCAGTGGCCATAGCCAGGTCATCCTTGGTGAGTGGAAGTCCACGTTGCTGAGCCCATGCACAACCTCCATCTCTGCCACCATTACCACTTTGTTCATGGGCCTACTTGGCAATGACAGGGGTGGCTGGGGAAAGAGGCTGAGTGGTGTCCATAGAACAGGTCATCCTATCCACTTGATTATTAAAATCCTCCTCTGCCAAGGTCACCTGTTGGTGAGCACTCACATGGGATACAAATATCTTCACAGTTTTTGACTACTCAGAGAGGTCCATCAACATACCTCTTCCCCAAATTTCTTTGTCACCAATTTTCCAATCATGCTTCTTCCAAGTCCATGACCATCCAGCCAAACCATTGGCTACAGCCCTCGAATCAATATATAATCGCACGTCTGGCCATTTCTCCTTCCATGCAAAGTGTACAACCAGATGCACTGTTTGAAGTTCTGCCCACTGGGAAGATTTCACTGCTGTCCTTCAGAGATGTCCTAGAAAGGGGCTGTCATGCTGCTGCTGTCCACTTTTGGGTGGTGCCTGCATATTGTGCAGAACCATCAGTGAACCAGGCCCTAGTCTTCTCTTCCTCTGTCAACTGATCATAGGGAATTCCCCATATATGTATGTATACGTGTATACATGTGTATATACACGTATACAGTATATATGTATGTATAATACACATGTATACATGCATATATGTGTGTATATACACACATATATACATGTATATATACATGTATTCATGTATATGTGCATATACACACATGTATACATGTATATACGCATACATGTATACATGTCCATACATGTATACATGTGCACGCATGTATACATGTGTACGCATGTATACATGTGTACACACATACGTTCATACATGTGTGTATACGTATGCATGCATGCATATACAGTTACATGTATGCATGTGTATATTTTTATGTACACATACATGTACACACATGTATGCATGTATACGCACATGCATGTATACATGTGTGCATGCATGTGTACATGTATATGCACATGCATGTATACATGTATATATACATGCATATGTGTACGTGTTCATATGCATACGTGTATATATGTATGCATATACATGTATGTGTGTATGTATATATATGTATGCATATATGTATGTGTATATACATGTATGCATATATATGTATGTGCATCTACATGTATGTGTGTATATATGTATGTGTATATACATGTATGTGTGTATATATGTGTACATGTTTACACATATGTATGTGTATACACATATACACACATGTATATTTGTGTATACATGTATACACATATACACACATGTATATTTGTGTATACATGTATACACACACATGTATCTATGTATATATAAATGTGTATATATACATACATGTGTATACATATATAAATGTGTATATATACATACATGTGTATACATATATAAATATATGTGTATATATACATATATGTGTATACATACATGTGTATACATATATAAATGTGTATATATACATACATGTGTATACATATATAAATATATGTGTATATATACATATATGTGTATACATATATAAATATATATGTATATATGAGTTCATAAATCACAAGGTCCCACAATAGGCTGTCTGCAAGCTTGAGGGGCAAGGAGAGCTAGTCCAAGTCTCAAAACTGAAGAACTTGGAGTCTGATGTTTCAGGGCAGGAAGCATCCAGCACAGGAGAAAGATGTAGGCTGGGAGGCTAAGTCAGTCTCGCCTTTTCACATTTTTCTGCCTGCTTTATTTTTGCTGGCATCTGATTAGATTGTGCCTACCAGATTAAGGGTGGGTCTGCCTTCCCCAGCCCACTGACTCAAATGTTAATCTCCTTTGGCAACACCGTCACAGACACACCTATACATCCTTCAATCCAGTCAAGTTGACACTCAGTTTTAACCATCACAGACTGTCTGTTAGACTTCTCTCCCACACATTGTATATCCAAACTAAGGATGAACTCAAGTTGTTTAGCCTAGGTGACGAGAAGGATGGAGCTGCTGTAAGTAGATGGAGATGGCTGAAGTAAGCAGGTCTGGGCAGGGTAAGTGTTAGATTGAGAGTTTAGTTTTGGACAGATAGAAGATGCAGGGAAATGTCAAGTGAGCAGAAGGAATGCTTTAAGTTCAAATCTATAAGAATATATACTTGACATATGTTATTCAAAGCCTTGAGAATATAGGTAGTGCATTAATTCAAGCACCTCATGCCATGTAATGAACGCATGCCTTACAGGAAGTTTTCAGAATGGAATAATGTTCTTCTAAAAATTGGTCCATTTCAGTGAAATAAAGAATCAAATCTGACAAGGAAACACAACAGAAAATGGAGTCACATAGAGCATTTGTGGCGGTTTGGCCAGAGCACTAATTTTAAATGGTGGTGGACTGAAGACTTTAATTACTTCGATGGACAGAACATTAGTTTTTAGATGACTGGAACTGAGCTATATACTTCTTGGAAACACTAAGGTTGTGTTAGGAAGGAAGCTTTGTTTAGGTTTGACTTTTGACAAAATTTCTTTACAGAAATATTCTGGAAGTTTAAGAATAATGTATATAGATACTTCCTAGCTACACTTAAGGAAAATAAACATAGTATGATCTATTCTAATGGTTCTACAAGAACATGAGCTACATCCTAAGTTCAGGAACTGACAAGTTTTTTTCTTTAAAGGTCAAATAGTAAATACAATAAGCTTTGATGGTCATACATCTCTGTTTGGACTACTCAACCCTGCCATTGTAGTACAAACAGCCATAGGCAACACATAAATAAATAGGTATGGTTGTGCTCCAATACAATTTTATTTACAAAGATAGGAAACAGGTGAGATTTGGCCCACTGGCTATAGTTTTCCTCTGTCCCACCTCCACACCCAATAGCTTTCCCCCTTCTTTGCAAAGGCTTAGAAAAACAGCTGTTTCTGTTTGGTGTACCTTACTATTCATGAATACATTTTAAAATGTTAGTTTTTGCTGAGCCATCATTAGGTGTTCAAGCAATTTAGAAATGGATTATATCAGTTAAAGGTTACTACAATAATTTGGGCAAGAAGTGATAACACTTTTGAACAGGATACAACAGTGAGGTGGTGGGATATGGTCATGTTGTGGATATGTTTGATTTTAGAAGCAACAAGGTTTGCAGGAGAGGAAGAATGGTGTTGAAGATGGTGCCAAGGATGCTGGTTCTCTCAACAAGTGGTAGCTAGGAGTATGATGTTTAATTATATTTATACATCTTACTTTCTTAACCTGGCTTCTGTAAGTATGCAATAAAAATGTTTTGCTCATCATCAGATCCTCATACCACTGTTCCATGGATAAGATACTCTTCATCTTACTGAGTAATGTATCCCAAGGAAATTGTATTTTAGGCATTTTGTCATTTATTTTTGAGGGTGTACTTCATAAGCAATATCACAATAGCAGCATAATTATTTTCCCAATGTCAGCCCCCAGTTCTGGTTTTCTTTATTTTTCCTTTTGAGCCTTATTGGCTGATAAGAGGTCTTAGAGTAATAACACTAATGAGAATCTTTGTCACAGTGTGAGTTCCCTAGTGCACGACCTCTTCCTTTGAGCTCATCAATAATCCACAGCACTAGTACACCCACTTGACAAAGTGACTCATCATCATTTGCATTTTGCTTTGACAGATTGATCATTAATATAAAGCCACTCCTGCATGACTTTCTGAAGGACATATGAAGATGTTCATGGGCTGTTAAGCTGTGCATTTCTCAGAGAATTTAAATTATTCTAAGTTAAACTTCTAGGTCTTGCAGTGTGATCTTTGGTTGTCTTAGCACATTTTCTCTCTATAACAGAGTACCACACACTGGGTAACTTATACAGAAAAGGTCTGGAGGCTGGGAAGTCCAAGACTGAGGGGCTGCATCTGGTGAGGGTCTTCTTTCTGCATCATAACATGGCAGAAGGCATCACATAATGAGAAGCACTTGCACAAGAGAGAAATTGGGCAGAACTCCTTTTTATCAGGAACTCACTTCCTATGATAACTAATCCATGCCTGTAATAATAGCATTAATCACAGGGGTGATAATGGATTACCTTTAATCCCCTCTTAAAGGTTTTACCTTTTATACTATCATATGGCAATGAAATTTCAACATGAGTTTTGGAAGGGACATTCAACCATAGCATTGGTTAACTGCAAAAACAATTGGGAAAACGAGCCCTATAAAACAACTCAATTTCAATCTACTTGAGAGAGGACTCAAATAGGTAAGGAATTATTAACTGTGGTGCAACTTGCATTTCGGCAGCCTTAAGGTTTTGAGAAATTTTGGAAAATACGAATCAGCAGAAGACATTTATTTATTTATTCAGTAAGTATTTATTGAGCCCCTATTAAGTTCTAGGACTGTTCTAGATGCTGTGTATATGGAAATAAACTAGATAAACAAGGTACTTGCTCTTATGGAGTTTATTTCCCAGAATATATACTTAGATGAGGGTAAGACAGGTAATAAAAATGTAATCTAACAAGTGAGTAATTCGAGATAGTGATGAGTTATGAAGAACATATAATGGAGCATTGGGATAGAAAGTACACTGAGAATGGGGCTGCTTTACATAAGTTGTTCTTAAGAGATGATGCTTGAGCTGAGCCATGAATAATGACAGTTGCAAGAAAATTTAGTGGAAGACCATGTCAGACAAAGGAAAAGCAAGTTTAAAGGCCGAACAATGGAAATGAGCTTGGTTTATATGGGGACATGGCATCCTTTCAACCCATTAGATATTTGCTGATTCACAATGACCAGTCAAAAAACTGAAAAGATAATTGGAGTTTTTAGCCTTCTGAAATAAAGATTGAGATTTAAAAAATTGGAGTTCAAAACTAGGATGACTGTCCAGTTTTCATGGGACTGAGGGGTTTCTCAGGATTTGGGGCTTTTATACTACAATTGGGAAAGTCTTACATAAACTGGAAGAATTTTGTCAATCTTTCAAGGCCTAGCAAGATGAGTCCTCCTTAATACCCTGAGCTTTCATTTTGGACCCCTCAAAAGCTATATATAGTCTTTGTCATCACAAAGGCTGAAACCTAGTCTTAAATAACATCCATCCCTATTTGGATTGCAGTAGTCTGCTTCTAGACTAAACTGCAGCCTGGAAGGCTGAAAAGTGAGCACACCTTACAGCAGATTCATGGAGTTGGGGAAGATAAAAATTGGAGTCCTGGGATTTCCAAGGAATACTAGCCTTGATAAAAACCCAAGGCTTCTGGCTGGGACTCCTGAAAAACTACAATCAGGAAGATGTGCAAAGTGAAAAATAGACCAGCTCTCATAAAGACTAAAACCATGCCTCAAGTCACTCCAACTCCTGATTGGATTGGAGTGATATGCTACTGCCTAACTGCCCTACAGAAACAGAAGTAAATTATTTCTGAAAGAAGATAATATCATTCACATCCTCAAATTATTTCTATAATTTTTCAAACACTATTCCAACATTCGATCAAAAATTATAAGGCAAATGTAGAGATAAGCCCATCAAAAAAAATCAAACAACATAAATAAATTCATAGGCAATCCAGACACTGGAGTTAACAAACTGGGGCTTAAAAATACCTGTGAAAGTTACGTTTTTTAAAAAATCAAGAATTAGATTCAGAATCCTAACAGAGAACTAGAAGCTACAAAAAAGAATCAAATGGATATTCTAGAACTAAAAAAATACAGTAAGAGAATTTAAAATCTCAATATATTTAACAGTGGATTAGACACAACAATAAAGAGAGCATTAGTGAACTAAAATATAGCTCAGTAGAAAATTGTCATGAACTCTGAGCGTTCTGAGATTTTAGCCTACTTGCAAGCTAAGTTAGGCTGTCACAATTTCACAGATGCTGAAAGAAAGCATCAGACTGCTGTTTCAGAGACAAAGATACTACTCAACGCTTTAGTTCCCCTGTAACCCACTCCCCATCCCCAGTCCCATGGGAGTGATACAGAGGTGAGTCTAAGTAGAGTCTGTGGACACAATAGATCTGTGTCACTGCTGAGGAATCTCATGCTTAGGAAATCCCCAATCTTACGCAGGACTTCTAGCAAACCTGACCAATCTTTGTCTCAGAGGAGGACATTATCTTTATGATGCTGATGAAACAAAGTACCCTCCACCCTACAAGGAAACACTACTTCTATCTTGGTTTGCTATACAAACATCCTTGAAAATATCTACAAAATATATAGAAATGTCATGGAGAATTATCCCTCAATAAAAATATATGAACTAAAAAACAGAAAGTAAAAAGGTAGTCTCTAGAAATGAAAGAGAAGAAGCAATATTTGAAGAGACAATGGCAGGAAATCTTCTAAAACTGAAGACATCAAATTTCAGATTTCAGAAGTATCACACATCACCTACAGAACTAGAAAAAAATACCCTATATATATAATAAACTTGAAAACTAAAGACAAAGAGAACAACATAAAAGCAGTGTGAAACAAAAGATGTATTACCTACAAAGGAGCAATTTTAGGACTGACAGCTAACTTCTCAACAGAAACAATGGAAACCAAAAGACAAAAAAAAATAATGTTTAAAGTGGTACAGAAAACAACTGCAAACCTAGACTTTAAAAAAAGTTGTGAGAAGATACACATAACATAAAATTTACCATTTTAACCACTTTAGGAGTAAAGTTAGGCAGTATTAAATATATTTACATTATTGTGCAACCAATCTCTAGAACTTGTTTGTGTTGCAAAACAGAAACTCTACCCCTATTTGTTTTAATTCAGGCTGCAATAGCAAGATATCATAGACTGGGTGGCTTAAACTACAAACATGTATTTCTCACAGTTCTGGAGGTTAAGAAGACCAAGATTAGAGTGCCAGCAGATTTGGTGTCTGGTGTGAGTCCTCTTGGTTTGCAAATAGCTGCCTTCTTGCTGCATCCTCACATGGTGGTGAGAGAGAGAGATCATCTTTCTTATGTCTCCTCTTATAAAGGGCACACTGGTACTACTCATGAGAGCTCTACCTTTGTGACCTAACTACCTCCCAAAGGTCCCACTTCCAACTACCAGCACAATGGGAATTAGGGTGTTAACATGGATTTGGGGTGAACATAACATTCGGTACATATAATTAAACAACCCCTTTTCTTCTTTCTCCTCCCCCCAGTGACCTGGCAATCACCATTGTACTTTCTGTTTCTATGTATTTCACTGCCTTAGATATCTCATATAAGTGTAATCATGTACTATTTGTCTTTTTGTGACTGGTATATTTCACTTAGCACAATGTCCTCAAAATTCATCTGTGTTGCAACGTGTGTCAATTTTCTTCTGTTTAAAGGTTGAATGATATTCTATTGTATATACATAAATAAAATTTTTAAACTATTTATCTATTAATGTATACTTGGATTCAAACCTAGAATTTTATACATTGTAAAAATATCCTTCAAAAGGGAATGTTAAATAAAGAAATTACCAAACAAGAACTAAGAGAATTTGTCATCAGCTTACCCATACTAAAGAAAATACTAAAAGGAGTTATTCAGTTAGAAGGAAAATAATTCCAGATGAAAATTCAGGAAAGAATAAAGAGTAATGAAAATGGTAAATAAATATGTAGATAGAGCTAAATAAACAATAACTGTATAAAACAATAATAATGTATTGCTTAAAATACAGAGAGAATTAAGGGTTTAAAATATATAATTAAATGTTAACATATAAGGCAGGAGAAAGATAAATGGAAATAAAGGTGCTTGCATTATCTTGAAATAGTAAACATAAGTACTAATTTATATTAGATTTTAATAAGTTAAGGATTCCTGTTATATATTCTAGGTTAAACAGTAAAAGAATAGTAAAATACTATATAATTAACAAGTAAATGTAAGAGCAAAACAAAATTTTTTAAAGAAATCCAGAAAGGAGAGAAAAGGAACACCATAGAACAGATGAAACAAATAGAAAACAAAACGTAAGTGGTAGATTTAAAACCAAATATATCAGTGATTACATTAGATGTAAACGGAACCAATGTGCAAATAAAGACAAAGATTACCAGATTGTATACAAAAGCAAAGCCTAAACTATATGCTGCTTAGAGGAGATGACTTTAAGTATAATGATATAGAACGTTTAAAAATAAAATTGCAGAAAAATATATCCCACAGAAACAACCAAAATGGTATAAAAGCTATAATAATTAAAATATGTATAATAAAATAATTAAAATACATATTAATATAATAGTTAAAATACAATACAAAACAAACATGTAGCTGTATAAATATCTGACAAAGTAGACTTTAAGAAGACAAGAAAGGGGTAAGAGCCAAGACAGCTGACTAGACACAGCCAAGAAAAGCTTCTCCCACCAAGAGAGCCCATTTTGGTCTCCCAACAAGACCATCAAGTAAACTGGCACACTCTTTGGAAAGAGGGCATTGAGAGTGAACAGAAAGAGGACACAGACCGCAGAGTGAAAGGGGAGGGAGGATTAGTGGGGCATGCCTGTAATCCATCTATTCAGGAGTCCGAGGCAGGAGAATCGCTTGACCCCAGGAGATGGAGGTTGCAATGAGCCAAGATCATACCATTGCACTCCAGCCTGGGCAACAAGAGTGAAACTCCGTCTCAGAAAAAAATAAAACAAAACAAAACAAAAAAATTTTAAAGAGAAAGGGAAGGAAGTTGGGAACCCTGCATGGGGTTGCTGAGCCTCAGGACTTGTTCTTGGCCCTGAGCAGCCCCTAGGGAAGGAGTGAGTGAAGTAGACATGGAGTGGCCCACTCTCACCATCAACCTCCAGAATCCTAAGCTGCAGGACACCCCACACCCCGATGGACATCTGAGCTGGCAGAGAGAACTACCCAGAGAGTTGAAACAGACAGCACTCCAGCCTGTGCAGAGCCCAGATTTGGCATGGGAACAGCTGCAATGGAGCACAGCCATAGGTGTCAATTCACCAAGGATGGCCATACTCCTGAAGGTGACTTTAGCCTTTGGTAACTCTCAGACCTGGACAGAGCAGGGCACCTGTGGTGCTAAAAGTTAGAATAGGTGATTACCTTTGAAGAGAAAGGGGCTAGTGACTAGAAGCTGGTATGAGGGGGGCCTTGGGGAGTGCTGTTGAGATTCAGTTTCTTAATCTGCATTGTTATTGGGTGAGTTCAATTTGTAAAAGTTTGTACATTAATGTTTCCTGCACTTTTCTGTATATATTTTATCTTCAATTAAAAAGTATATGAAAAAAGGAAGCACATCAAAGCATGACACTTACATAGTAGGACAGATGTAAATTGGGGTAAAATTATCAGAAAAACAATTTAAATGGTATAAAAGCTATAATAGTTAAAATACATTATTAGTAAAACAAACAAAGGAATCAACAAAAAGACCATTAGGAGGTAGAGATGTTCTTAACAAAGTTCTGAGAGTTAGAAGTGCCACCTCAGTGTTGACCCCCTGTAATATAATTGAAGGGTGTAGAACCAGAGCAGTAGAGTAGAAACTTTATCCTTCTACATTCCCACTACCATCCTGTCCTCCTCGTATGCCTAGGAGTCTATTTTCCCCAAGGTATCTGAAACCACAGTGGGGAGAAATTTACAAAGCAAATAGCCACAGAACTTCAAGGCAGCAAAAGCAGCAGTTTGGTCATGGCGAATTTTCTAAGCCATCATTATCTCCATATGTTCATGAACCTGAATTATGCTTGATTTGAGCTTCGAATTGAAGAATGCCTTGAGATTGTTTAATCAGAATTCTAGGAATGTGGAAAATTTAAAAATCATTAGATCATAATGGGAAAATTTTTGTCTATGAAAATTTTTACCAAATATAAAAGAAAGGAAATGATAGACAATATGACTGAATAAAGAGGCAAATTGTAAAAATAAGTCTAAGTGACTAGCAATTCAAAAAATTTATCTTGTTTTGTAGTTTAAAAATTAAAAAATGACATTTGTACATACTTAATTGAAGTAACATATAACATTACAAAGAACTTCAAGACTTTGTTTCCTAATATGGGTGCAAGAAGCATCACAAGAGAAGCAGGAATATAAAAATAATCTTTAGCTGAGTAAGAATTTTCTGTCATTTTTGCATTTAAAGCAAAAGAAGGAAGGGACAAGTAAAATGAATACCTATATAATTTCATATCAAGGTTCAAATAAGAAAGATGCTGATTGATTTTTGATGCTTACAATTTTATAATTTTAACTTTTCATTTTACTATTGAAAACCAACAGCTTCTGAGCAACTTTTGAAATTATTATATTACAATTTGAGATTGCAAGAGGAAATTTTTTTTTTCAGTCTTCAAAAACAAGTCCTCAGTTTAGAGAAGGAAATTTAGAGAAGGAAATTGAGGGTAGTCCATTCCCTTGTGTGTTTTCTTTTGAGACACACCCTGCATTACATTTAGCCTCTCTAAAAAGCTTTGAATGTGAACAACTGTAGGGTGAGGACTTGTCCCGGAAACTCTTTTTTTTTTTTAATATTTATTATACTTTAAGTTCTAGGGTACATGTGCAAAACGTGTAGGTTTGATACACAGGTATACCTGTGTCATGCTGGTTTGCTGCACCCATCAACTCGTCATTTACATTAGGTATTTCTCCTAATGTTATCCCTCCCCCAGCCCCCCACCCCCCAAAAGGCCCCAGTGTCTGATGTTCCCTTCCCTGTGTCCAAGTGTTCTCATCGTTCAATTTCCACCTATGAGTGAGAACATGCGGTGTTTCATTTTCTGTCCTTGTAATATTTTGCTGAGAATGATGGTTTCCAGCTTCATCCATGTCCCTGCAAAGGACATGAACTCATCCTTTTTTATGGCTGCATAGTATTCCATGGTGTATATGTGCCACATTATCTTAATCCAGACTATCATTGATGGGCATTTGGGTTGGTTCCAAGTCTTTGCTATTGTGAATAGTGCTGCAATAAATATATGTGTGCATGTGTCTTTAAAGTAGCATGATTTATAATCCTTTAGGTATATACCCAGTAATGGGATTGCTGGGTCAAATGGTATTTCTAGTTCTAGATCCTTGAGGAATCCTGGCTCTACTTTGCATAGATTATTCCATGATGCCAAGCAAAACACAGTTAGGAGAAATCCTGGTAGTAGAAATTCTTTATAATTCTGAGAGTCTGTAGTTTATTTTTTTATCTGAAGGGCTAAGGGTTTTAGAATTTGTATTCCATAGAATTCTTACCCTTTGATGCACAAAAGTTTATTATAGTTTCCAAACTTTATTTGGATAACCCTATTTCAAACAAAATTTAGTAGAACTTTTGTATAATAATAGCTAACAATTATTTAGAGCTTACCATGTGTCAGACTGTTCACAAAGCATTTGACACTGGCTATCTCATTTCATCTCATACAAATTCTGTGATGTAGGTAATGCTATTATCCCAATTTTACAGATAGAGAAACTGAAGCAGGAGGATTAATTAACTTGCCACATAATAGAAATGAGTTGGTTTAGTTGCGGCCTGCAGTTTGGGCTGCTCAGTCATGGGAGCTGGTCCTAAAGCCCTTGGTGAGAAAACCATGATGAAGAAAGAAGTGCACAGGCCAAGAAGTCACCGTGCCTGATTTGATCAGAGAACCTGTGAGCCAGCTCAGGGAATTTAGTCTATTTTTTCCCCCCTAGAGACAGGGTCTCACTCTGTCACCTAGCCTGGAGCACAGTGGCTAGATATAGCTCACTGCAGCCTCAAACTCGTAGGTTCAAGTGATCCTCCTGCCTCAGCCTCCTGAGTAGCTGGGTCTATAGGTGAGTGCCACCATACCTGGCTAGTTTATTTTTTGTAGAGACAGTCTTACTGTGTTGCCCGGGCTAGTCTCAGGCTCTTGGCCTCACATGATCTTCCCACCTTGACCTCCTGAAGTGATGGTAACAGGTGTGAGCCACCATGCCAGGCCTCTCAGAGTCATTTTTAGGGAAAATGCAGATGATTACTATTCTTATGCACTTCCAGAAGTGCCATGGTGGCACCTGATTTGATCTACCTAAAAGTACTTTTTTAAGTGCTTGGAGACTAGGTACCCCACAGGTATCACTTTCACTGGGAGTCATATGTAAACCCACTGACATTTCTATATTCCAAAGCTCAAGTTGCCTCGGTTCTTCCTTTTTAAGAACAAGCAGTACTCTGTGACACCCTGTGAGCAACTTTTCATACCACAGTATATCCCATACATAGGAAATCCTCCAGTTTCATAGTTGGCAATTCTCCATCTACCCTGCCTGGCTACAAAGGTGTCAAAGGTGTGGCAGTCATAGATCCATTGACATGTGTGCTTTTTGCTAAAACTTTGTTTGGTGGGTTCCCCTAGCTCCCACAGTCTACCACATTATAGTGGATATAAGAGGATTACTCCAGGTAAGGGATATTCAGAATGAATGCCCCTGAAATAGGGAGAATCCATGTAGTAGTATAACATTTGTTGGAAGGGTTGATTATCAAACAACACAAGTGTTTCCATGTGATAGACAGAATTCTGACAGTTGTAGATGTAATAGCAGCTAATAGAATCATCTTGAAGTAGATGTAATCATTATCCCCTCATCATATGAAGCAAATGAAGCATTGAAAATTAAAGAGCTTGCCCAAGTTTTGATTGTAAGTGATGCCTCCAATCTGGGGCCCAGAATCCATTCCACCTCTTGTTTGTAGGTCTTAAAAACAATGAATTTGAGATTCCTAATAAGCAAGTAACCATTCATGCACTCTACCCATGTTTACTGAATGCCCAAGAATGTCATGCACGATGCTAAGAACTAGAGACAATGCTAATTATTAGGGATTCAAATATGAAAGTGATATAGTTTCTGTCCTCAAGGACTTTATAGTGTAATGAAGGGAAACATAAGTAAATGGGTACTATAAAACATAAGGGAAACATAAGTAAATGGATGATTGTAAGTATAAGTACTGTCATATAGCTATTAAGTATAACATCCATGGCATATGTTAGATGAACTGAAAGGGACAATGAATCTATACTGGGGTCAACAGAGAAGGCTGAAGGAATGTACCTAACCTGAGCCTTAGAGGAGAAACAGTAGTTAGCATTGTGGGGAATGGAAGGGCATTCCAGGCAGAGAGGGTAATATGAGGAAAGAGGGAGCGTGTAGTTGAATGTGCAGGGAAAGTTTGTGCAGAATGGCTAAATCACTGGATTGGATTATAGAGTAGGGAGCTGAATGGCAATAGATGGAACTGGAGAGGTAGACAGAACCAGGTCATGGAGGGCCTCATGCACAAAATAATAGGTGGTTGGACTTCCTCATATAGGTAATGGAGAGCCATGTTCAAGACACACACCCAAGGGAAAAGTATTTGGATTAGATTTTGAAGAAGGATATGGGATGGGGTTCAGGGTGGGCAAATGGAGACTAGGCTAGTTAGTTGAGACCACTTTGCTTAGAATGATGAGAGGGCAATCTAATGTAGTACAAGGAAGGAAGGGAGGAGAGGAAACTGTTTAGAACAGGGTTTCTGCACATTTCGGGCCACATATTTCTTAGTGGTGAAGGGCTGTCCTGTGCACTGTAGGGGCACTGTAGGATGTTTAGTAGCATCTTCAGCCTCCATCCACTAGATGCCAAGAGCAGACCCTCCTCCAGTTGTGATCACCAAAAATGTCTCCTGCATGGCAAAATTACCCCCATTTGAGATCTACTGGTTTAGACACACTGGTATTAAAACAGAATCAATTGGATTTGGATGTATGGAGAAGGTGGAAAATCACAGTCAAGGTTAACTTTAGGGTTTCTGTATTGACAAAATAAGTGAGAAACAGATGAGAGAACAGGTTTGATCTTTGAACAAATTAAATTTGAGATACTTGTGGGATATCCTAAAAAGAGATCCAAGAGATAGCTGGATAGATGGACCTGTGCTCAGAGAATTCTCAGCTGGAGATACAGATTTGGGGATTATTTGCATATGGATGGAAAAAAATACCATAGGGGTGAATGAGTTCACTGAGGGAGACTCATGAAGTAGAAGTAAGAAGAGAACCAGGCAGGAACTCTACGGACAACCAAGAGTTAAGGGTGATAGAGCATTGTTTAAATCACAGTTTAATTCTTGCCAATGAAAGGGAAAAGAGAAGTATGTATCACTATGTCATTTTTAATCAGTAATGAAGACCTTGGTATCCCATGACTCAAATAGAAGGTAAGATCTCTTAAAAAAATGTGTGGGAGTAATCGGGGAAATACTCACAAGATGGTCAGTCTTAAATGCAGTATTTGTTGAATTTATTTTTCCCTGTGCTTTCAGTGCAAAACTAAACAAAACCTTAAAAAGCCTCATAGTTTCAGTGTGGTGAATGAATACCTAGAAATGCAAGGTTAAATTGAAAAACCCATTATATATTTATTAGCAGTGTTTCACTACCTTGTCATCAATGTTCAAAAACAGTACTGCAATGGAAAGCTCAAGGGAAATGCAGGAGCTTTATATAAAGACATATTCTTTAGCCTCTGATAAGGTTCTACAGTGATAATTCTGGAAAAAGTAAAATGTCATGAAGCAATGAACAAAAAGAGCTTACAGGATAGAAAGCAAACCAATAACAAGAACTAGTATCATTTTTGGCAGGCAGGTCAGTGAAGTAGGAAGATAATTTCCTACCGGCGACATGATTTCCATGAAGCTAATTGCCTACAATGCCAATTATGGTGAGAAGCCTTAGACTAGGGCAATCGCGACCTGTGAGAAAGGAATTCAATACTGAAAATACCAGATGCTTTGGGTAAATAAGTGATTACCTGAATATAAGTTAGATACCCTTGTGAGAAACATTAACTCTTCAGGCCAACAACGTACCACCAGAGGTCCACTCCCAAATAACGCTCTGTGTCTTCCAAAGGGCCTTACGACCAAACCAGCACACCTATCCAAAACGCAGCTTCCACACACCGTGGCTCTGTGTGTTGAAAGGAAGACAAACTGAATGAAGTTCATAAAATAACTTCCCCATCTCACTCATTTGTCAGAGGGAATATCTGCCAGTATTCTCTGCAATACAGGACCCATACTTACCCGATTTCTACAGGGAGCTCTGGACTGCCTTCCTGATTCCAGCCTCTGTCAACCTTTTCTCTCCCTCCCTTTGCCAACATTAAAAAAGAAGTTAACAAATGGATCTAATTACCACAGTGGTTTGAGGCTTCTCAACGTTTTTTTTTTTTTCCCTTCCAGCTGTAAAGATGTCCTCAGACTGAGCTTCACATTCAGAACTGCTGTCAAACTCTCACTTTAATGGGCACTTAAATTTAATGTCAAGCTGATGCCTATGGAAGACCTTGATTAAATTTGCAAAGAGTAGACTCTAACTGAAACAGAACTTTAGAGTTGTCTCATTTCGCCTTTCAAGCTTAAATCCCAGAAGTTTTCTTCTCTTCTTTGTAAAGAATTACAGAAGTTTGCTTGCAAAGACCCTGAGTATCAATAAGACAGCAAAGTGTAACAAGCAAAACACCCGGCATGTTTTTAGAGAGAGAAGAAATCCCTTAGCTTATTAAAATTCTATGTGAATTAAAGATCTTTCCCATTGCTTTATTCCATTCCCAGCTCATTTGAAATCTATAGCTATTCACTTTTATGACTCTATAATATTATAAGCAGTCCTAAAAAGTTTACTTAAAACCTTCCTAGTGTTCTTTTATGCACATGGCAATTAAGTTTTTTACTGTATGGACAGAGTGAAAAACATTATGGAAAAACAACTTGAAAGAAATATGACAGAATTTCTCCTAACAATGTCATTGCTTCAACCAGCTACAAATTTCCAACCTAGTTTCTTTCTTTTGCTGTTTCTTCTTTTGTCTTTGATACAATCATACAGCCTCTCTTCCTTGAAGAGATAATAAAAGACTAACAGTTAAAAGATCTGGAAGACTCATAATCTTTTTCACTGGCTACGGTTTTGAAAAGAGGCTGTTGGCTTTTGATTTTTTCTTTTGGGTTCTTTACATCACCCAGATCAAACAGGTCTGCTCTCAAAGAAAACAAATCAAAATTGTCAAGACCTGTGAAGCGTGAAAAATAAATTGCTTTTTCCAACTCCAAAAAGCACCAGAAAAGCATTAATTTTGATCTTCTTTTATAAACCTCTATCCCCTATCCTCTAATCTATAGATTTCACAGAATGTTTATATATTCTTCTGTATAATACATGACAGGAGATCAAACCTTATTATGAATAAATTGAGTTGAACCTGTAATACAACTAATATTTAAACTAGTGTTATTTTGGAGTTCAATTAGACACATATAAAACATTCAAGTAAGATGACACAAATTCCTGGGGCTGCCAGTATAAAATAAACAGTCCAGTAAGCTGCATCTACCATGCCATTAATGACTCTGTCCTTTTAGCTGGTGGGAGCACAGGCTTCATAAAAGAAGGAGAACATGAAGCAGTAGAAAAAGACAGCCTTGCAAAATGCTGCCAGATACAAAACATTCTATCAGAAAATTTCTCATTGAACTACAGTGGCAAGAGTGCTTCTAATATCTCCCTTTTAACACAACGAAGACCTACATTTCTATGCTCGGCTTTCTAAAGCTAACTTAATTCTGTGGTTAAAACAGCTCCAGGTAGCACTTGTTCTTCTTATTATTTTTTTTTAAAGGACTTGTGGTTTTGCAGTCCATGGATAAAGTGGTAGGCAATCATCAGATTCCTGTTGAGAACAACAAATGATGAAGGGAGTAGCAGATGGTTTCAGAAGGCAGAGATTTATAGGGGTAATTTGTAGTGGAATAATACTATTTTCTGAACTAGGTAATAATAATTCACCAAGACAAGTAAAAGTTTAGATAGTATCTCCTTTAATTATATGTTGCTAAATATTCCAAGAAATCTTTGACTCAGAAGCCTAAAATGAAAACTCAATTAGTTGACATTTTTAGTTTCTGATGATCTGATCCTGTTTAATCCTTTTCATCGTGATGCAGTTTATCACGATTAAAAATACGGTCCTGCTAACAGTCTAGTTTTCTGAATACAATGTGCTCTTTTCAATTTAGTTAGTATCTGATTCAAAAGGATAAAAGTATCCCTCTTTACCAGGAAAAGAAGACAGAAATAGACTAATACTTTTCACACATTACAAGGTAATAGATGAGGAAGAACTATGTTTCAAACAGGGTTTCCTGAGCACCCCAAATCCTATTGGTGAGTGAGTAGAGCCCCAGGAGGAAATCACTATTTAGATGAGGGTATCCACAATGGCATTGCTCCACAAGGCATACGTGCCAGGGATCATCAACTTCACCTTACTCCCTTGACAAACGCAGGCAGAGAGAACAGGGCATTGATCTCGTATGTCTGTAATCATCCACAACATTTATTAAATTCCATTGCTGGCACTGAAACGAGGGGGTTACTATAAGTATCACTATTCATTGCTGAAGTTAATTAATTTACCAAATCTATTTGGTAATTCACAGCAACTACAGAAGTAATAAGGTATGGAAGTTAGAGGGTAAAATAAACACTTTATTTTATATGTACAATCTTCTTGCTTGGTAATTGTCTATTCTTCATGAACCTGTCCCCAGAGTAATGGCAGCAGATAAGACGTGCCATTATTTTACATAATAAAATATCCCTATTATTCCTTAATAAATATAACTGGCTATACTTTATTTTAATTCCCAAGTCACAGTTCACTCAGGAGAGTCTGGTGCCTGATGTAGAATAACCACAAATAGGTCAACTCTTAAAAAAAGTTAAAGAAAAGTTTAAAATCTTCATTAGTGATCAGCAGTGTGTTGGATACTCCAAATTACCACTTTAAAACTGAAGTAATATCCAATCTGTTACGACATAAGACTCTCCCAATTATACGCAGACACTGTCATGTACACTTTGATATTTATTAACAAAAATGGTCCAGAAAAGGATTGAGTCAAAATTACAAAATGATTAAGAGTTAAAACAAAAGTTGTTCTTTATTGTAGTTTCTGGGGGACTTTAACCAGTCCCCAAAGGTGTTTTTATCTCCTAAAATAGGACTTGAATGACATCACTCAAGTGACAGATTTTAATAGAAACTCTTCCTCTTTCCTTCTGTCAAAGCAAAATATAGTGAAAGTCTCGTTACCTCAAACCTGCTTTCCTAATAAGTGTGCATGCCTGTAGATGGATTGGGATGCAGTGAAGAGAGAAGTTAAACAAAAAGGTTAAAAAAAGAAAGGCCAGGCACAGTGGCTCACAACTGTAATCCCAGCACTCTGGGAGGCTGAGGTGTGAGGATCGCTTGAGCCCAGCAGTCTGAGATCTGCCTGGGCAACATAGGGAGACCCCCCCTCTACAAAAAAAATTGAAAAAAAATAGCTGGATATGGGGTGCACACCTGTGGTCCCAACTACTTGGGAGGCTGAGGTAGGAGGATCACTTGAGCTGGGAAGGTTGAGGCTGCAATCAGCTGTAATTGTGTCACAATTACACAACAGAGTGCAACACTTTTTCAACAACAAAGGCAAAATCTTAAAAACAGGAAACAGGCTATTGAGGAAAAAGGGTTACAAAACTGCCTAAGAATCTTCACTAAAGTAATCCTCTAGTCCTTCCATATCCATTTCCAGAGAGGAATTTAAAGAGGCCAGAGCAGATGATGCATCCTTGGTTTTCTGGACACTTGGTTTGGGTTGAGGAGTTTCTGGTTGGATAGATTCCTTCTTTATGTCTTTACCACCATTTAGAATACGTTGGCTCTCACAAAAGAAATGATTAGGATGATTCAAAGAAAAGCCACAATCACCCACCTGTAAAGGAAGGAAATTTATATTGCATTAATACATGGCAAAGCTATAAATATATGAGTTTCAAAAGCTGTTTTAGTACTTGTTTAAAACTTAATACCTGAAACATGGATTCTAGCTGTTTGCATTCTAACGCTTAATCAGCTACTTACACCATTTCATTCAAAGAGAGCTTCAACCACTACCCAAACCTAAATGGCTCCCACATTTATATTTCTAGTCTGAGCCTCTGTGTTTGGCTCCAGTTCCCTATCTAGTTTCAGTCCCATATCCAACACCTACTCAACATCTAAGATGGCTCAAAGGCAGCTCAAACCCAACAGGAAACGTATCCTTTCCCCTCTCCCCATCCTTTGCTCTCAGTGACTGGTATCACCATTCATCCTTGGGGCATACTAGACACCTTTCTCTCACCTCCCCAGCCCCCAACTCCCACCTGCCACCTCCCATCTACACCAAGCCCTCAATTCTGGCAATACCCAAAACATTACCAATTCTGCTTGACAATTACGTCAAAACAAAAAATTAGAAAACTATAAAAATATGTTTGGAATACAAACCTGTGTGTGTGTGTGTGTGTATGTGTGTGAATGACATTGTATATTAGGCACAGGTTAGGGACCTGTGTGATTCATTATTGTATCCCCAGTTCCAAGCAAAAGGCCTACCACATTGTAGGCCAATAAATATTTGTGGGTTTTTAAGTGATCGTAAAATCATTTTTGATCATTTTGATACTGGTCCCTGATACCACTTGTGTTTTAGAGCTGACTTGTAAGTCTGGCATGTGCACTCATTTAGTATGATATAAACTGAAAAAGCAACCTAAGTCAATGTAATTGTTCATTCTAATCTTGGCCTTTCCTTGGTCTTTTTACAGAAAATCTCTTCTTGTAAATTTCACTGTGACCGAATACAAACATGCCTGGTTCATAACTTATGTTATTTTTTCTCAAATACTATCATTAAACTTTAGTTTTGAGTATCATTTCAAATTATGCACTCTAGTAATCTCTCCTTATATTCAGTTTCACTTCCCACAGTCTCAAATCCCTGCCTTCTCGCCTTCTGCAGTTGGAGTTGACAACAAAAATATCATTTTGCTTGAGTGAGTGACTGTTGGTTTCTTTGGTGGTATTTTCATTTATCAAGTTTTTGGAAACTGAGAAGTGATTCCATTTCTTTTGTTCATCTGTCTTGTATTAACTAATCCTTTTACGTCTCACCCTTCGTACTGAAGTGACTTGCACACTGTAGGTATCTAATAAATATTTGGTGAAGTGAACCCAGAAATAGTGTATACCAGTGATAATTTTGCATATTTAATTAAAGCCTTACTATATAAAAGACTGTGTTATAAACTATTCGCTATTCAGCATACAGGAATACATTTGACTAACTCAAATTTCCAACCCAGTAAGTCAGACTTAAAAACCTCTACCAAGAATGGAGAACTGATGAGGGTCACAGATAAAGGCCTATTACACTCCACAGTAAAGAGAAATTTCGGCTAAGGAGATCAAGGAAGGCTTTGTAAGAGGAGTGCTATTTGAGTTGCGTCTGGAAAGATGGAGAGAGTGAAAAGCTGGGATGATGAGGGGAAAGGCAATATTTGCAGCAGGACCACATGAGCAAGGTAAAGAGGGAATGTCCTGGGAAAGCAAATATTAAATAGTTCACATAGCCTACTATGAAAGGCACATACAAGGAAACAATAAGGAATGAGGTTGGAAAGACAGGCAGGGGCCAGCCTGAGAGAGCCTTGAAAATCAGGGTAAGTGGTCAAGACCTAATTCTCTAGGCAACAGAGTCACCAAAAACCCTTAAAAAGAGACGTGGTGTGATTAAAGCTATGTATAATCTTATAGTAGATTAAAATGAATTGGCCAGGGAAAAAGGGGTTGCTGCCATGGTCTAGAATGAACCCTATTGGTGGACGGACCAACAGACAGAAACATGAGTCTTTTCTGGTAATACTTATTTAAGCACCCTAGGAATCTCTGATTCTCTTTTGCTAGTTGTTAATATATGTTAGGGTAATTTTATAGTAATTCCAGTGTGTAACAGATGGATAGTATACAGACTGATTTTAAGAGTTATAGATCATTAAGAACAAATTTTTATCTTTGCTTTATTTTTTTAACTTAGCTGCTTGATTTCAAAATGTTTCTGAAATGTTTTATATTTATAATTTTTATTAACAATGGAATCATTTATGAACTTTTTTATTATGAACTTTTTTATTACATTCAATTTTCACCCAACTCATTAAAAACTGGGAAATCCAATATAATTTTGCATTTTGCAATGTGTTTCACAAAAAGTATGCTTATTGTCTAATACATTTTAATCAGAAGGCTTTATAGTTTGTAAAATAGTTTGTAAACAGAAAATCAGAGATTAGAAAGACCTTGGGGAATCCATTAAATTCAATCTCCTCCATGTACAGAGGCCTAAGGAGAATAGATAGTTTATTCAAGGTCATAGAATTAGTAACTGGTTTTGTCTGAATTAAAATTCAGGCCTTCTGACTAGATCATTAGTTGCTCTGAAATCTGTTTTAAGAGATTGTATGCAAAATCATACTGATAATGATATCTCCATTATAAATTTTATTTCTAGAGATAAACTTGGCTACAAAGATTATAAAAACATAGTTGTATTATTTCATGCAAAAATAACCTAGTATCTTATGCTATAATAATATCTTGGCATTTTCTGTACCTCGCTTCAAGTTGTCAGTTATCAATACATTTATTAGACTTCAATGTGCACAAAATCTTTTTAAAGTCTGAGTTTCTCCATCTATGAAATGGAGATAACAGTGTTAGGTCATAGGGTTGCTACGAGAAAAGTAAATAAAAATGAATGTAAATAAAAAGAGTTGTTCTATGAAATCTAAATAAAATGTTTTTAAAGAGTCAAGAAAAGCAAGTCACTTAAAAAAAAAGGTGGAAGTCACAGAAGGAGAGGGAGAAAGATCCTATTGCTTTGCATATATCAAGTTCCTTTTCTACTTTAAGGAATCCAAACTGGAAATTGCTGATGCTGTATTATGGGTATAGTTTATAAAAGAAAGATAAAATCAAATTCCAAACACTAAACGATACTCAAAAGACCCTGCTCTAACTAATAAATGGCATTTAAATATCTTAACTTTAAGATATAATATTTAAGGTATGTGCATATCATTAATGAATCCTCATTTTAATTAATATTTTTAAAATTATACTTAAAGTTCTGGAGTCCATGTGCAGAAAATGCAGGTTACATAGGTATACACATGCCATGGTGGTTTGCTGTGCCCACCAACCTGTTATTTACATTAGGGACTTCTACTAATGCCATCTCTCCCCTAGCACCCCACCCCCCCAAAACAGGCCCTGGTGTGTGATATTTCCCTCCCTGTGTCCATGTGTTCTCATTGTTCAACTCCCACTTATGAGTGAGAACATGCAGTGTTTGGTTTCTGTTCTTGTGTTAGTTTGCTGAGAATGATGGTTTCCAGCTTCTTCCATGTCCCTGCAAAGGACATGAACTCATCCTTTTTAATGGCTGCATAGTATTCCATGGTGTATATGTGCCACATATTCTTTACCCAGTCTATCATTGGTGGGCATTTGGGTTGGTTCCAAGTCTTTGCTATTGTGAACAATGCCACAATAAACATACGTGTGCATGTGTCTTTAGAGTAGCATGATGTATAATCCTTTGGGTACAACCCAGTAATGGGATTGCTGGGTCAAATGATATTTCTGGTTCTAGATCCTTGAGGAATCGCCACACTGTCTTCCACAATGGTTGAACTAATTTACACTCCCACCAACAGTGGAAAAGCATTCCTATTTCTCCACATCCTCTCCAGCATCTGTTGTTTCCTGACTTTTTAAGGATTATCATTCTAACTGGCATGAGATGGTATCTCATTGCAGTTTTGATTTGCATTTCTCTGATGACCAGTGATGATGAGCATTTTTTCATGTTTGTTGGCCACATAAATGTCTTCTTTTGTGAAGTGTCTGTTCATATCCTTCGCCCACTTTTTGATGGGATTGTTTATTTCTTTTAAATTTGTTTAAGTTCTTTGTAGATTCTGGATATTAGCCCTTTGTCAGATGGATAGATTGCAAAAATTTTCTCCCATTCTGTAGGTTGCCTGTTCACTCTGATGATAGTTTCTTTTGCTGTGCAAAAGCTCTTTAGTTTAATTAGATCTCATTTATCAATTTTGGCTTCTGTTGCCGTTGCTTTTGGTGTTTTAGTCATGAAGTCTTTGCCCATGCCTATGTCCTGATTGGTTTTGCCTAGGTTTTCTTCTAGGGTTTTTATGGTTTTAGGTCTTACGTTTAAGTCTTTAATCCAACTTGAGTTAATTTTTGTATAAGTTGTAAGGAAGGGGTCCAGTTTCAGTTTTCTGCATATGGCTAGCCAGTTTTCTCAAAACTATTTATTAAATAGAGAATCTTTTCCCCATTGATTGTTTTTGTCAGGTTTGTCAACAATCAGAAGGTTATAGATCTGTGGCATTATTTCTGGGGCCTCTGTTCTGTTCCATTGGTCTATATATCTGTTTTGGTACCAGTACCATGCTGTTGTGGTTACTGTAGCCTTGTAGTATAGTTTGAAGTTAGGTAGCGTGATGCCTCTAGCGTTGTTGTTTTTTTTTTTTTTTTTTGCTTAGGATTGTCTTGGCTATGTGGGCTCTTTTTTGGTTCCATATGAAATTTAAAGTAGTTTTTTTCTAATTCTGTGTAGAAAGTCAATGGTAGCTTGATGGGCATAGCATTGAATCTGTAAATTACTTTGCGCATTATGGCCATTTTCACGATATTGATTCTTCCTATCCATGAGCATGGAATGTTTTCCCATTTGTTTGTGTCCTCTCTTATTTCCTTGAGCAGTGGTTTGTAGTTCTCCTTCAAGAGGTCCTTCATATCCCTTGGAAGTTGTATTGCTAGGTATTTTATTCTCTTTGTAGCAGTTGTGAATGGAAGTTCACTCATGATTTGGGTCTCTGTCTATTAGTGGTGTATAGGAATGCTTATGATTTTGCACAGAGATTTTGTATCCTGAGACTTTGCTGAAGTTGCTGATCAGCTTGTGAAGTTTTTGGGCTGAGATAACGGGGTTTTCTAAATGTAGAATCATGTCATCTGCAAACAGAGACAATTTGACTCCCTCTCTTCCTATTTGAATACCTTTTGTTTCTTTCTCTTGCCTGATTGCCCTGGCTAGAACTTCCAATGTTGTGTTGAATAGGAGTGGTGAGAGACGGCATCCTTGTCTTGTGCCGGTTTTCAAAGGGAATGCTTCCAGTTTTTGCCCATTCAGTATGATATTGGCTGTGGGTTTGTCAAAAAATAGCTCTTACTATTTTGAGATATGTGCCATCAATACCTAGTTTATTGAGAGTTTTTAGCATGAAGGGATGTTGAATTTTGTTGAAGGCCTTTTCTGTATCTATTGAGATAATCATGTGGTTTTTGTCATTGGTTCTGTTTATGCACTGGATTATGTTTATTGATTTGTGTATGTTGAACCAGCCTTGCATCCCAGGGATGAAGCTGACTTGATCATGGTAGATAAGCTTTTTGATGTGCTGCTGGATTCAGTTTGCCAGTATTTTATTGAGGATTTTTTGCATCGATGTTCACCAGGGATATTGGCCAGAAATTTTCTTTTTTTGTTGTGTCTCTGCCAGGTTTCAGAATCAGGATGATGCTGGCCTCATAAAATGAGTTAGAGAGGACTCCCTCTTTTTCTGTTGTTTAGAATCGTTTCAGAAAGAATGGTACCAGCTCTGCTTTGTACCTCTGGTGGAATTTGTCTGTGAATCTGTCTGGTTCTGGGCTTTTTTTTGGTTGATAGGCTATTACTGCCTCAATTTCAGAACTTGTTATTAGTCTATTCAGGGATTTGACTTCTTCCTGGTTTAGTCTTGGGAAGGTGTATGTGTCCAGAAATGTATCCATTTCTTCTAAACTTTCTAGTTTATTTGTGTAGAGGTGTTTAGAGTATTCTCTGATGGTAGTTTGTATTTCTGTGGGATCAGTGGTGATATCGCCTTTATCATTTTTTATTGCATCTATTTGATTCTTCTCTCTTTTCTTCTTTGTTAGTCTGGCTAGCAGTCTATTTTTTTGATCTTTTCAAAAAACCAGCTTCTGGATTCATTGATTTTTTGAAGGGTTTTTTGTGTCTCTATCTCCTTCATTTCTACTCAGATCTTAGTTATTTCTTGCCATCTGGTAGCTTTTGAATTTGTGTGCTCTTGCTTCTCTAGTTCTTTTAATTGTGATGCTAGGGTGTCGACTTTAGATCTTTCTTGCTTTCTCTTGTGGGCATTTAGGGCTATAAATTTCCCTCTAAACACTGCTTTAGCTATGTCCCAGAGATTCTGGTACGTTGTGTCTTTGTTCTCAATGGTTTCAAGAACTTATTTATTTCTGCCTTAATTTTATTATTTACCCTGTAGTAATTCAGGAGAACACTGTTCAGTTTCCATGTAGTTGTGCGGTTTTGAGTGAGTTTCTTAATCTTGAGTTCTAATTTGATTGCACTGTGGTCTGAGAGACTGTTTGTTAAGATTTCCATTCTTTTGCATATGCTGAGGAGTGTTTTACTTCTAATTATGTGGTCAATTTTAGAATAAGTGCAATGTGGTGCTGAGAAGAATGTATATTCTGTAGATTTGGGGTGGAGAGTTCTGTAGATGTCTATTAGGTCCACTTGGTCCAGAGCTGAGTTGAAGTCCAGAATATCCTTGTTAATCTTCTGTCTCGTTGATCTAATATTGACAGTGGGGTGTTAAAGTCTTCCACTATTATTGTGCTTGAGTGTACGTCTCTTTGTACATCTCTAAGAACTCGCTTTATGAATCTGGGCACTCCTGTATTGGGTGTATATATATTTAGGATAGTTAGCTCTTCTTTTTGCATTGATCCCTTTACCATTATGTAATGCCCTTCTCTCTTTTGATCTTTGTTGGTTTTAAGTCTGTTTTATCAGAGACTAGGATTGCAATCCCTGCTTTTTTTTTTTTTTTTTTTTTTTTTGCTTTCTGTTTGCTTGGTAAATATTCCTCCATCCCTTTATTTTGAGCCTATGTGTGTCTTTGCCTGTGAGATGGTCTCCTGAATACAGCACACTGATGGGTCTTGACTCTTCATCCAATTTGCCAGTCTGTGTCTTTTAACTGGGGCATTTAGCCTCTTTACATTTCAAGTTAATACTGTTATGTGTGAATCTGACCCTGTCCTTATGATGCTAGCTGGTTATTTTGCCCATTAGTTGATGCAATTTCTTTATAGTGTTGATAGTCTTTAGAATTTGATATGTTTTTGCAGTTGCTGGTACCAGTTGTTCCTTTCCATGTTTAGCGCCTCCATTAGGAGCTCTTGTAAGGCAGGCCTAGTAGTGACAAAATCTCTCAGCATTTGCTTGTCTGTAAAGGATTTTATTTCTCCTTTGCTTATGAAGGTTAGTTTGGCTGCACATGAAATTCTGGGTTGAAAATTCTTTTCTTTAAGAATGTTGTATATTGGCTCCCACTCTATTCTGGCTTGTAGGGTTTCTGCAGAGAGATCTGCTGTTAGTCTGATGGGTTTCCCTTTGTGGGTAACCTGACCTTTCCCTCTGGCTGCCCTTAACATTTTTTCCTTCATTTCAACCTTGGCGAATCTGACAATTATGTGTCTCAGGGTTGTTCTTCTCGAGGAGCATCTTTGTGATGTTCTCTGCATTTCCTGAATTTGAATGTTGGCCTGTCTTGCTAGGTTGGGGAAGTTCTCCTGGATTATATCCTGAAGTGTTTTCCAACTTGGTTCCATTCTCCCGGTCACTTTCAGGTACACCAATCAAACATAGGTTTGGTCTTTTCACATTGTCCCATATTTCTTGGAGGCTTTGTTCATTCCTTTTCATTCTTTTTTCTCTAATCTTGTCTTCTTGCTTTATTTCATTAAGTTAATCTTCAATCTCTGATATCTGTTCTTCCACTTGATCAATTTGGCTATGGATACTTGTGTATGCTTCATGAAGTTCTCTTGCTGTGTTATTCAGTTCCATCAGGTCATTTATGTTCTCTAAACTGGTTATTCTAGTTAGCATTTCCTCTAACTTTTTTTCAATGGTTCTTAGCTTCCTTGCCTTGGGTTAGAACATGCTCCTTTAGCTCGGAGGAAGTTGTTATTACCCACCTTCTGAAGCCTACTTCTGGCAATTTGTCAAACTCATTCTCCATCCAGTTTTATTCCCTTGCTGGTGAGGAGTTGTGATCCTTTGGAGGAGAAGAGATATTCTGGTTTTTGGAATTTTCAGCCTTTTTGCGCTGGTTTCTCCCAGTCTTTGTGGATTTATCTACCTTTGGTCTTTGATGTTGGTGAACTTTGCATGGGGTTTCTGAGTAGATGTCCTTTTTATTGATGTTGAAGGTATTCCTTTCTGTTTGTTAATTTTCCTTCTGACAGTTAGACCCCTCTGCTGCAGGTCTGCTGGAGTTTGTTGGAGGTCCACTCCAGACCCTGTTTGCCTGTGTATCACCAGTGGAGGCTGCAGAACAGCAAAGATTGCACCCTGTTCCTTCCTCTGGAAGCTTCGTCCCGGAGGGGCACCCACCAGATGCCAGCCGGAGCTCTCCTGTATGAGGTGTCTGTCGGCCCCTGCTGGGAGGTGTCTCCCAGTCAGGAGACATGGTGGTCAGGGACCCACTTGAGGAGGCAGTCCCTTAACAGAGCTCAAATGCTATGCTGGGAGATCTGCTGCTCTCTTTAGAGCTGGCAGGCAGGAACGTTTAAGTCTGCTGAAGCTGCACCCACAGCTGCCCCTTCCCACATGTGCTCCATCCCAGGGAGATGGGGATTTTATCTATAAGCCCCTGACTGGGGCTGCTGCCTTTTTTTCAGAGATAATTAATCTTTTTTTATTAACCACTAAAACAGTGCCAAGGGCCTTGAAGTGAGGATTTGTGCCATGGCTCTGTGATGCTGTTTCTCCTTTTTCTTGATCTGCAATTGTCCTTAACTCATTTTGTGAAGCTCTTTGTGATCTACTAAGTTGCTTGATAGCAAAATGAAATGATGAAGTTTCCTTTTTATAGAATTCTATTTTCTTCCAGGATGAGTTCTTTGTGTTCTGTTTCTTTCACTTTCATTTTTAAAGGAAGTGCATATGGCTGTTTCCTTTTGTCTTGTTTAGGAAAATAAACTTAGGGGGTTTTTTTGTATGTGGGGGGAAGGGGAAGAGTATAAACTAAACAGAATGGAAATCTTCACTTTAAAATTAAATTAGGAAAAGGAATAGAGAAATAGAGGTATCTACATCTAAATCCTCCATTTCACTTATTTCTTCTCAAGTCAGCAGCTATTTCCTTTACTCTGTTTGGAAATATTAAGTGAGCATTTTCATGACTTTGTCTACTGTGACTCTTTTGTTTCTTTCCTTGCCTGTTTTCTTTTTTGGTTACTATTGCTGATGTTTTTCTTTGTGGTTGATGATTTAAAAAAAATTGTGTTTTGTGCATTATTTTATGTATTGAGATGGGAAAATTCTGTGAAGCATTTGCATTCTACCACACTAGCTTGGTCCTACTGTTTCAGGTCCAAAGTCCTGTAAAGGATCTGAAACAAATTTAGGAGTCTAGAGGAAGGTGGGTGGAGTGGAGGCCTTTAGAGGATACATTATACATTTTAGATTTCATCTTAAGAGAAATAGGAAGCCATTGAAGTTTTTAAAAAGCAGGTTCCTGAAATGATCAGATTTCTCTGTTTTAAAGGTCACTCCAGCAGCTGTGTGGAGGAGAAAGAATTGGAATGGGGCATGTGTAGATGCTGGGAAACGAGTTAGGAAGCTATTGCAGTGATCCAAGTGAGATGATGGTGGCTTCTAGTCCAGCATTCTAACTGATATCCATAATGATGACCCTGAGTTATTATAAAAGGGCTTAATTGTATCACATATATCCTGTTTAAGATTTCAGGAAAATGTGTGATAGGTTTTAATAAGATTTCTCTAGAGATTTATATGGTGGGGAAAAATTATGCTCAGCCATTTGGAAAATAAGTACCCACAGTTACTCAGTGTCCAAAGAGGTCTACCTCTGAAAACATTATTTTCTATTAAAATTCTGTGGTTAATCTACACATGACCTAGTGTTTTCATTTATACATGGAACATGCAGAAAGTAAAGACTATACTATTAGTATAAAATTATTTTAAACATTGACCCTAAAAATACAGAGGAAAACAGGTTTCAAGCAGGCCAGCTTTTAACATCTACTAAATAAATCTCTCTCAAACATTTGCTTGGAATCAGCACATTCTGCACACAATGACCTTCACACAAACATGGGTCTCATATTTCTGCCACTGCAAATGTAGATTTTGAAGGAATGAAAGCAATATTGTTTTACCTATGGGATATTTGGGTTTTAATCAAGAGGTTTTGCAATGACAGCTTATAATGAGGCAGCTGGTATTACCAAAAAAGCCATATGGAACTATCATAGTGCTGCTGCAAATGGTATCAATTAACTGGTTTATTTTCAAAACTTCCATTTAAGTAAGTTTGATCACAGAGGCCTCGGGAAAATAAACATAGGATTTTATTTGGGGGAGGGGTAGGATGGCAGAAACCTGACAATAAAAATAGATTCTATTTTTAAATTAAATTAGAAAAAATATAAATGAAGGAGGATATTCACATCTAAAAGTCCACAGTGAGAGATCTAGTGAATACAAACAGCCTTTTTATTTTGTTGATTTAAGTGTGGTTTAAGTTGACTATTTTTATATGTGAGGGGATTTAGATATATGTCTTTCCAAAATCTTCATTAATCTAAAACAAGTTTTAAAAATTGGCAATAGTGGCAATACTTGAGGGAATAATCAATAGGAGAGATATTACAAAAGCAGATTTGAGAAATAAAAACCACTCCTTACTTTTTGGTGATTATGCCACAAACTCAATGTTTAAATCTAATTTTCATATCTTATTTTTATAAAAAGAGGTTGGATAATAGACTTCACTTGTGAAAATTCTGAGGCCTCTTAATTAAAAGCATCCACAAATGATTAAAGAACAATAGGAAATTAAAACTCTCAAGCGGAGCAACCAAATTAAAGAATGCAGTCTCCGAGAGAGTGACTCATATAAACCTGGTGTTGCCAAACATGGCTTATCTGGCGAGATTCCTAGTGTGATAAAACTAATGAGATTTTGTTGTTGCTATTTTCTTGATGTTTACTCCTTGAGTTTTGTTTTAAAAAAAGCTTTTAAATAAGAATAATACTTTCAAAAGTTAGGTATAGAAGAGTGAGGACAGGACCCACAACAGACTGGGGCTCTAGCTCCAGATCTTCCATTAATCAATTACAGCATGTAAGGCAAGTTAGAGTCCCTACCTGTTTACCATGCTATGAAGATAAACAGGAAAATGCCAATTACCTCTGCTGTCATTATCACAAATTTAGTACCAAATATCATAGAACAGTACAGTCATAGTTATGCTAACAAGCTTTAGATGAGTTAGACAGCTTGAATTTAAATCTAAGTTCTATCCCCTATAAGTAGTGTGACCCCACACAGATTGTTTAACTTCTCTAAGTTTTATTCACAGACAGGGAAATATACATATAGTATCTTGCTGTCATGTCAATCAAAAGAGCTAATGCATTCAAAAATTTTAGTGCTGTGCCTGGTATACATTAAGGCAGGGGTTCCCAACCCAGTCCGCGGCCCGTTAGGAATTGGGCCTCACAGCAGGAGGTGAGCAGTGGGTGAGTGAGTGGAGCTTCATCTGTATTTACAGCCACTCCCCATCACTTGCATCACTGCCTGAGTTCCACCTCCTGTCAGATCAGCAGTGGCCTTAGATTCTCATGCGGGTGTGAACCCTATTGTGAACCCCGCATGCAAGGGATCTAGGTTGCGTGTTTCTCGTGATTATCTAATGTGCCCTCCCACCAGCCCCTGTTTAACCATGGAAAAATTGTCTTCCATGAAACTGGTCCCTGGTGCCAAAAAGGTTGGGGACCGCTGCATTAAGGGTTCCATAGATATTGGCTGGTATTACTATTATTATTTTAATTATTATTGGTAATATTATAAAATATCTTTTTCCTATGAGATATTTTATCAAGTTAGAAATTCTGCAATTATATAACCATAATAGAAAAACTACTTTGTAACAACCAAATAAAAAACATAAAAATAATTGTAAAACTTTAGCATGGTAGCTGATGATGATTTCAACAAACGCAACTTCCTTTTTGGGAGGGTCATGGATCTTTAATAAATAACATGGACTATGGAAAAATACACATATGTACTTAGAGACAAAATGTTTCAAGAAGTACAAGGATCTCCAAAGTCCGTTCTTGGATGTCTTTCCCAGGTTAGAAATCCAGGCTCAGGATCAGTGGATGCAAACTAGGGCCAGAGGACTGAATTGGACTTGGAGATGTGTTTTGTTGGCCTGCAGAGGGCCTCACAATTTGTCAATGTGAATGCCTCTAATAGGGCAAACATGTTTAGTGCACCATAATTCTGCTATACTCTGTGGTACTAATCTCAGGCAGCTTCACTTTTTTGGGCTATATGCCCAATCTCTGTAGGCCTCTGAGTTTGTGACATTGGCTTTACACACTTCAAAATCTATTCTGTGCCAGACTGGGTCATCCCACTCTTACTCTAATAATCAAGCAGGCTTTTTTGTACTAAGGAAGCTGGCAAGATAAAAACCAAACACATTTCCCTGACTCGTGTATAGTTAGGGGTCCACATGCAATCTAGGTTTTGCCATGCAGATAAGTATGAGACTTGGGAAGTGGATTACAGTAACATCAGGTGGCAGCCACAAGTACAAGGATCAGATTTTCTGCATGGAAGATGGCAAAAGCCTTGGTTCTTCTAGGCAGCTGTGGCAAAGATTCCAGATCTAGTCTAGAGGTTGGCAAATCAAGGCCTGTGGGTCAAACTGGGTCTACTACCTAATTTTATCAATAGAGTTCTATTGGATCAACAGTCATACCTGTTCATTTGCATATTTTCTACAGCTGCTTTTGCACTACAACAGTAGAGTTGAGTAGCTGTGACGCAGACCATATGGACCATGAAGCCTACAATTTTTACACTCTGGCTCTTTACAGAAAAACTTTATTGACCCTTGGGCTCATCCCTAGATATGGAGTGGTGGGTGACAGCTGTAGTAAAGATTTTCTCATGAGGTAGCTTCTCCTAGTTACAAAATATTCCTGGTTCTGCAGCATCCAAGCTTAGTTGTCTGGTCGTTCAATAAATGCTGTAAGTTACTTAATACCATGCAATCCCCTTTTCTGCTGAAAATAGCTAGAGTGGTTTCCATTGCTGCAACTAAAAACCCTGAATGTGACACAGTAACAAAAGACAAATAATTAGGATATAAAGTTAAAAAAATACTTACATTGTGTATCATCTCAAAGTATTTTTGACAGGCTACCTGGTAATGTGTCCCCTTTACTAAATCCAAAATCTAAAATGAATGAGGAAAAAGACAAATAAAAATTAGAAATTAAGTTTTCTTCTAAACCACTGTAGCTCACAGCTGTTGGCCTTTTCATAATCTTCATTCCAGACAGGAAATGCAATAAATCATGTAGCATGTTGTACTTCTGCAGCCTGGACACTGTGATAATTCTGACATTATACAGTAGTGGTTTAGGTCAGCATTAAACCACAGATGACAAGAGATAGTGATCTTTCTGACCTACCAACTGTACATTTTTGTAACTTTACCTCAACAGCAAGATGAAAATGGATCCTGGTATGATGACTTTGACAGTTATTGTCAGAACATCATATTGCAACATCTCTCCAAAAACTGTAGATAGAAATCTAGTAATCTAATGGTTGGTGCATGAAGCAATCAAGTATACTGTTTAGATATTTATTTTCCACGTTAATGGTTTATACAGATACAGCATAAAATACTGCTGTGTGCCCATCAGGAAAATTTAATGTAAACCCTTTTGGACAAGTATCTGTGAAGAGGGAATGCTTTTACCTTCAGTCAGATTTGTCCTTTTTGAAATGAAGTTATTTCTAGCAAAGCTCAGCAGAATATGAGAGTGAATAGCCTATTCTGAACACCTATTAGGAACATCATCCTATCTTTTGTAAATACAATTTGCTTTCCAACTCTACTTCATGTAATCTCTTCAGAGCGGTGCAAACTCCCATCCTTATCAGCAGACTGCAATGCCAGTTGAAATTTGTAAAGTTTCATTGCCTCCCCCAAGCCCTCAAATAAATAAAACACATATTTGGCCTATTTATCAAATGCAGTAAAATGCTGGAATTAAGAGATAACCTCAAATGAATGGAAACATAATTCTGGAGAAATGTTAATTTCTATTCCTTTTTTATGTTTTAAAAGGCTGATCTTCCTGTCACAAAAAGAAATGAACATGGGGTCTCAAATTCTTGCTATCCTCATTATTGAATATAGCTTAATGTCATTTGACAGATACACACAAAAAAATTACAGTTACAGAACAGGCATTATACAATACTGACAAGAATGTGCTTCAAAAATTGCTTTTCTGATTGTCTTATAGATTACATTTCTGAATTTCGTGTCACCTTTTATTAAATCATATATGAAAGACCTGTATAAATGCCAGCCAACCACAGAGGCCAGATTTCTGCCAGTCTGCCTATCTGGCCTGTCTACTTCTCTTGAATTATTAGAGCAAAATATAAAAAATCAACTTAAAATGAGATTTTTTCATTTTTAAATTTATTTTGCAAGTTTTCCA